>NC_000023.11:20925366-21228397 GCF_000001405.40 Homo sapiens | reverse complement strand
GAAAATAGAGAGAGAGAAAAAGATAACTTATTATTTAGTCTTGATGTAATGAAGAGTCTTTGATTGGAAAATTTGTTTTACCCTTGATATTATGCTCTCTGGTTTGTTTATTTTTGAAATGTGCAATAATTAGCTAATCTTGGCAATATACTTGTGAATGGCAAGATCTATAACCTATATTGCACAGCTAGGCAAGGTATTGAATCACAAATAAGAACCCTTCGTAATACAAAGGCTACTTAGAAAGGAAGACCTTGATGCTCTGCCATAATATGAGAAAAGACCGAGGGTGGTGTCAGTTTTCTTAGAAAAGTATCAGTAGATACTTTCATTCCATTGTATTTTTGTTATGGCAGGACTTAATTTCCTACTGACTTTTTTTAAAGGACAGTTCTGGGTCATTTCAGTAGCAGATGTTTGTAATTGGGTGGGTGGGTGCAGAGACCTTTATACTGCAGTGAATGAAAAGGGATAATAGGGAATCAGAACATACTAATAAAGGGGTTAGGAATAATCAAAAGATAGAAAAGCTGGAGAGCAAATCTTTTGTCATCATACTTCTTTTCCATGCACTCATGACCTCCATATTTATTGTGTTCTCTGAAATGTAGTGCTACACGTGTAATTAAGGATGGGTTCTATGTGTGCTCTCTACTTGAAAACATGTGGTTGCTACTATGGCAACTGCAAAGAAACCAACAGAAGAAGCACTCTTTGATTAATGTAATTACACAGCCAGCTGTAGAATATTTCTTTTTTCTTTTGAGATGGAGTCTCTCTCTGTCGCCCAGGGTAGAGTGCAGTGGCACAATCTCGGCTCACTGCAAACTCCACCCCCCGGGTTCAAGCAGTTCTCCTGCCTCAGCCTCCAGAGTAGCTGGGCTTACAGGCGCCCACCACCACGCCTGGCTAGTTTTTGTATTTTTAGTAGAGAGGGGGTTTCACCATGTTGGCCAGGCTGGTCTCAAACTCTTGACTTCAAGTGATCCACCCACCTTGGCCTCCCAAAGTGCTGGGATTACAGGCATGAGCCATGGTGCCTGGCCAATACTCTTAAACACCATTTATTTCTGCATGAAGAAGACATTAAAATGGGTATTATGTTCAGCAAGTTAACATCAGTAAATAGGATCACATGATTTTTTTTAACGTCGTGATTAAGATAATGTTTATTTTGTTCATTCAAGATCATAGCCTGGGAATAGCTATGTTTTGTTTTAGGTCAATTCAATTCCTCAGAATAATTGTTGATTGCCAACTGTGAGCAGCAGGAGCTATTTATGCCTGCAAATGTTACAACTGTGTGTATGGTATGATCTCTGCTCTTGAAGACCTTGCAGTCTGATATACCTAGATTATTACCAAGGAAATACAATTTTCTAAAGCCTGGAATGTTGCAGTAAGACTAGAAAAATACTATTAATCGTTGTAAGTTGTTGGGGCGTAATGTATACATCAAGGTTCCTGCTGTAAACAGATGGCACTGTCAAATTATGTAACCTGAGAAGAGTTTAATAAAGGCATAATTTACAAGATATGGGCAGGGTACAGGGAAACCACAGGGTTAGTGAAGTAGTACCCCAGGAGATAGTCAGAGCAAGGTGCCGTCACTACCGAAGGGACAAGGAGAGAGAGCAGCAACTGGAACCTGCAGAGAAAGATGGATTGCTTGATAGGAACTGTGATTTTTAGTTGAGGATATGATGAGTCATAGTGACTTTGCAAGGAGACTCAGAGAAATAAATACTCTGATATATCTTATTTGCTGCCTTCTGATTTTCTTCTGGCGTTCCACTCATTGTCTGAACCCAACAAGAAGCTAGAGGATGAGGAAATCCATTGATGTAATTCATATAGTTCAGTCATTTAGGGCACAAAGCAGTTGGAGAAGAGTGGAGAGTGGATTTGGGGAGGGTCATGGAGAGGGGAAGTGCAGAATATCAGCACAGATATACACATTCTCACTATAGGCACACATACACATATACACCCATACATGCACACTACAGACACATGTGCATGTGGGCAAACTTCTATATCTACATGTAGTGTGTATATCTTCTCTCTTTTTAACTGAACATGTCTCTAGGCATTTTTATATTGTAGAAGATGCATGAAGTCTGATACCATTTCTGTCTTCAGCACTATATAGTAGTGGCTAAATTAATTTTTGAATGATGATTAAATTACAATAAATGTAGCCCTATGCATCTTTTTTTTCTCTCCAAGTGACATATGGATTCCATTATTTATAGGTTAGGTAGTCATTAACAAATTTTCTAGACTATATCCCTTTGAGAGTGTGATATATATGGGAAATAATCAGAAATGGGAGTTAGGAGATAGTAATTGGACAAACTATTCCAAACTAAATTTCTGAGTTTGCATTGTTGACTCAGCTAAAAGGAGTCAGCAGCATGAGATCATAGGACATAAAGAGAGAGTAGCCGGGATATCCCTTCCCTGTTTCACCCTGGCTGAGTTGGTTCTGGTTTTGGCTGTGGTTGAGTCTCTCCATTGCTACAGCTTTTGCTAAGTATCCCTTCCTCCATAGTCCCAGCTCTCACTGGTTCCTAAAACACTATTTCCTCCATGTTCCCTTTCAAACCTAGGATTGGTAATGGCTTCCAGCTATGACTAATCTTTGGGTCATAATGGCCTCATCCTTCCTTGTTTAACCTTAACCCTAGCCACACATCTGTAAGTAGTTTTTTTAAAAAATTTCTTAATTGAATCACCTGAGTGGAATTCTGTTTCCTGCAGGGAACTTGACTGATACATTTCCCCATCAGAAATTGCTAAAAATTGCTGTATAGTTGAAAAGTAGATAACAGTGACTATATTCCTAACATAGGGTTAGAAACAGTATGAAAAGAAATGAAGCATCTTTCCATTGCCCTGGAATATAGAAAAAAATATTTCTCTCCTCTGTAAAATTTATAGTAATAAAATAAACATAATTGACTCTCTTGGTTCAGGGGATATCAAGGACTCTATAAGCTATACCTGCATACCTTTACATAGACTCAGAATGTGGACAATATTTAGCCAACTGACTGTGTTCATTAGGTATTATACAGCAACATAATAAACCAATAAAAAAGAAAATGTTGTGGTGCTTATTTCCAGGTGATATACCAATATTTCATAGAAGCCAAGGGTAAAGCTACTCTTGGAGGAGTAATTCCTCTCAAAGGCAAAATGATTCTTCTTGAGCATCAAGCCTAGCTCCTGTGGAATCTTTCTCTTTGATTAAACTTTTTTTTTTAACTCCGTGGTGGTGATGTGTACATTATACTTCTACTGATGTTTCCCCAGAGAATAAATGCTCCAAACCTTGCTGGTCTATATCAGATTCCCAGTGTTAGTAAATTAGGTTGCCTTCAGTGAAACAGATTTTCTGTTGTAAGGTTGACATCAGTGTGAAATTAATCTGATATGGAGCTGTTATTTCTATCAAGGCAGTGACAACACTATCCATTTATCCTAATACCCTTATTAGAAGAGAAAAGTCTCAAAATGGTGGTCATCTATCTAGTTAGTGGATGTGCAAGGGCAATAACCCAGGCCTCTTGACTACTACCTCAGCATCCTCTTCCATGCCTAGAACCCAGACTCTAAGAACCCTGAAAAATCAATCATTTTATTCTCTGAACCCATCTTACTGCTTGCCTAAACTCTTTTAGAATGCTTCTTGAAATATGTAGTTCACTTTTCTGAGGGACTGGTTATTGTATTTCTGGGTGGCTCTTCCTTAAATTGAACAAATTTGTCTTTCTGAAGCTTTGACCTATTGATTCAAGTTCTATCCCTTGGGGTCATGAAGAACAAGTTAAATCCAGCTTCCATGTGACAATTCTTTAGATATTTTAAGTTAGTTATCAAATGTGTCTCCCTTATTCCCACCACGGAGGAATAACTTAATAGTCATATTCCTTAACATCAACAAAAAGGACATCCACACCAAAACCCTATCTGTAGGTCAGCATCAACAAAGACCAAAGGTAGATAAAACCACAAAGGTGGAGAGAAACCAGAGCAGAAAAGCTGAAAATTCTAAAAATCAGACCGCCTCTTCTCTCCAGAGGATCGCAGCTCCTCGCCAGCAACGGAACAAAGCTGGATGGACAATGACTTTGATGAATTGACAGAAGTAGGCTTCAGAAGATTGGTAGTAACAAACTTCTCCGAGCTAAAGGAGGATGTTTGAACCCTTCGCAAGGAAGCTAAAAACCTTGAAAAAAGATTAGATGAATGGCTAACTAGAATAAACAGCGTAGAGAAGAGCTTAAATGACCTGATGGAGCTGAAAACCATGGCACGAGAACTACGTGACACATCCACAATCTTCAGTAGCCGATTAGATCAAGTGGAAGAAAGGATATCAGTGATTGAAGATCAAATGAGTCAAATGAAGCGAGAAGAGTAGTTGAGAGAAAACAAGAGTAAAAAGAAATCAGCAAAGCCTCCAAGAAATATGGGACTATGTGAAAAGACCAAATCTACATTTGACTGGTGTATCTGAAAGTGACGCGGAGAATGCAACCAAGTTGGAAATCACTCTTCAGGATATTATCCAGGAGAACTTCCTCAACCTAGCAAGGCAGGCCAACATTCAAATTCAGGAAATACAGAGAATGCCACAAAGATACTCCTTGAGAAGAGCAACCCCAAGACACGTAATTGTCAGATTCACCAAGGTTGAAATGAAGGAAAAAATGTTAAGGGCAGCCAGAGAGAAAGGTCGGGTTACCCACAAAGGGAAGCCCATCAGACTAACAGTGGGTATCTCAGCAGAAACCCTACAAGCCAGAAGAGAGTGGGGGCCAATATTCAACATTCTTAAAGAAAAGAACTTTCAACCCAGAATTTGATATCCAGCCAAACTAAGCTTCATAAGTGAAGGAGAAATAAAATACTTTACAGACAAGCAAATGCTGAGAGATTTTGTCACCACCATGCCTGCCTTACAAGAGCTCCTGAAGGAAGCACTGAACATGGAAAGGAAGAGCTGGTACCAGCCACTGCAAAAACATGCCAAATTGTAAAGACCAACGACGCTAGGAAGAAACTGCATCAACTAACGAGCAAAATAACCAGCTAACATTATAATGACAGGATCAAATTCACACATAACAATATTTTTTTTATTATACTTTAAGTTTTAGGGTACATGTGCACAACGTGCAGGTTAGTTACATATGTATACATGTGCCATGTTGGTGTGCTGCACCCAGTAACTCGTCATTTAACATTAGGTATATCTCCTAATGCTATCCCTCCCCCCTCTCCACACCCCACAACTGGCCCCATTGTGTGATGTTCCCCTTCCTGTGTCCAAGTGTTCTCATTGTTCAATTCCCACCTATGAGTGAGAACATGCAGTGTTTGGTTTTTTGTCCTTGCGATAGTTTGCTGAGAATGATAGTTTCCAGCTTCATCCATGTCCCTACAGAGGACATGAACTCATCCTTTTTTATGGCTGCATAGTATTCCATGGTGTATATGTGCCGCATTTTCTTAATCCAGTCTATCATTGTTGGACATTTGGGTTGGTTCCAAGTCTTTGCTATTGTGAATAAACACAATAAACATAGGTGTGCATGTGTCTTTATAGCAGCATGTTTTATAATCCTTTGGGTATATTGGTGGGATTGCAAACTAGTTCAACCATTGTGGAAGTCAGTGTGGCGATTCCTCAGGGATCTAGAACTAGAAATACCATTTGAGCCAGCCATCCCATTACTGGATATACACACATAATAATATTAACCTTAAATGTAAATGGGCTAAATGCCCCAATTAAAAGACACAGACTGGCAAATTGGATAAAGAGTCAAGACCCATCAGTGTGCTGTATTCAGGAAACCCATCTCACTTGCAGAGACACACATAGGCTCAAAATAAAGGGATGGAGGAAGATCTACCAAGCAAATGGAAAACAAAAAAAAGCAGGGGTTGCAATCCTAGTCTCTGATAAAACAGACTTTAAACCAAAAAAGATCAAAAGAGACAAAGAGGGCCAATACATAATGGTAAAGGGTTCCATTCAACAAGAACAGCTAACTATCCTAAATATATATGCACCCAATACAGGAGCACCCAGATTCATAAAGCAAGTCCTTGAGACCTACAAAGAGACTTAGACCCCCACACAATAATAATGGGAGACTTTAACACGACACTGTCAACATTAGACAGATCAACAAGACAGAAAGTTAACAAGGATATCCCGGACTTGAACTCACCTCTGCACCAAGCAGACCTAATAGACATCTACAGAAGTCTCCACCCCAAATCAACAGAATATACATTCTTCTCAGCACCACGTCCCACTTATTCCAAAATTGACCACATAGTTGGAAGTAAAGCACTCCTCAGCAAATGTAAAAGAACAGAAATTATAGCAAACTGTCTCTCAGACCACAGTGCAATCAAATTAGAACTCAGGATTAAGAAACTCACTCGAAACCGCACAACTACATGGAAACTGAACAACCTGCTCCTGAATGACTACTGGGTACATAACGAAATGAAGGCAGAAATAAAGAAGTTATTTGAAACCAATGAGAACAAAGACAAAACATACCAGAATCTCTGGGATACATTTAAAGCAGTGTGTAGAGGGAAATTTATAGCACTAAATGCCCACAAGAGAAAGCAGGAAAGATCTAAAATTGACACCCTAACATCACAATTAAAAGAACCAGAGAACAAAAACAAATACATTCAGAAGCTAGCAGAAGGCAAGAAATAACTAAGATCAGAGCAGAACTGAAGGAGATAGAGACAAGAAAATCCCTTCAAAAAATCAATGAATCCAGGAACTGGTTTTTTGAAAAGATCAACAAAACTGATAGACCGCTATCAAGACTAAGAAAGAAGGAAAGAGAGAAGAATCAAATAGACGCAATAAAAAAAGATAAAGGGGATATCACCACTGATCCCACAGAAATGCAAACTACCATCACAGAATACTATAAACACCTCTACGCAAATACACTGGAAAATCTAGAAGAAATGGATAAATTCCTCGACACATACACCCTCCCAAGACTAAACCAGGAAGAAGTTGAATCCCTGAATAGACCAATAACCAGCTCTGAAATTGAGGCAATAATTAATAGCCTACCAACCAAAAAAAGTCCAGGACCAGATGGATTCACAACCAAATTCTACCAGAGGTACAAAGAGGAGCTGGTACCATTCCTTCTGAAACTATTCCAATCAATAGAAAAAGACAGAATCTTCCCAAACTCATTTTATGAGGCCAGCATCATCCTAATACCAAAGCCTGGCAGATACACAACAACAAAAAAGAAAATTTTAGACCAATATCCCTGATGAACATCAGTGCAAAAATCCTCAATAAAATACTGGCAAACCGAATCCAACAGCACATCAAAAAGCTTATCCACCATGATCAAGTGGGCTTCATCCCTGGGATGCAAGGCTGGTTCAACATACGCAAATCAATAAACATAATCCATCTTATAAACAGAACCAAAGACAAAAACCACATGATTATCTCAATAGATGCAGAAAAGGCCTTTGTCAAAATTCAACAGTCCTTCATGCTAAAAACTCTGAATAAACTAGGTATTGATGGGATGTATCTCAAAATAATGAGAGCTATTTATAACAAACATACAGCCAATATCATACTGAATTGGCAAAAGCTGGAAGCATTCCCTTTGAAAACTGGCACAAGACAGGGATGCCCTCTCACACCACTCCTATTCAACATAGTGTTGGAAGTTCTGGCTATGGCAATCAGGCAGGACAAAGAAATAAAGGGTATTCAATTAGGAAAAGAGGAAGTCAAATTGTCCTTGTTTGCAGATGACATGATCATATACTTAGAAAACCCCATCATGTCAGCCCCAAATCTCCTTAAGCTGATAAACAACTTCAGCAAAGTCTCAGGATACAAAATCAATGTGCAAAAATCACAACATTCCTATACACCAATAACAGACAAACAGAGAGCCAAATCATGAGTGAACTCCCATTCACAATTGCTTCAAAGAGAATAAAATACTTAGGAATCCAACTTACAAGGGATGTGAAGGACCTCTTCAAGGAGAACTACAAACCACTGCTCAACAAAATAAAAGAGGACACAAACAAATGGAAGAACATTCCATGCTCATGGATAGGAAGAATCAATATCGTGAAAATGGCCATACTGCCTAAGGTAATTTATAGATTTAATGCCATCCCCATGAAGCTGCCAATGACTTTCTTCACAGAATTGGAAAAAACTACTTTAAAGTTCATATGGAACCAAAAAAGAGCCCGCATTGCCAAGACAATCCTAAGCCAAAAGAACAAAGCTGGAGGCATCACACTACGTGACTTCAAACTATATTACAAGGCTATAGTAACCAAAACAGCATGGTACTGGTACCAAAACAGAGATACAGACCAATGGAACAGAACAGAGCCCTCAGAAATAATACCACACATCTACAACCATCTGGTCTTTGAGAAACCTGGCAAAAACAAGAAATGGGGAAAGGATTCCCTATTTAACAAATGGTGCTGGGAAAACTGGCTAGCCATATGTAGAAAGTTGAAACTGGATCCCTTCCTTGTACCTTATACAAAAATTAATTCAAGATGGAATAAAGACTTAAATGTTAGACCTAAAATCATAAAAACCCTAGAATAAAACCTAGGCAATACCATTCAGGACATAGGCATGGGCAAGGACTTCATGTCTAAAACACCAAAAGCAATGGCAACAAAAGCCAAAATAGACAAATGGGATCTAATTAAACTGAAGAGCTTCTGCACAGCAAAAGAAACTACCATCAGAGTGAACAGGTAACCTACAGAATGGGGGAAAATTTTTGCAATCTACCCATCTGACAAACGGCTAATATCCAGAATCTACAATGAACTCAAATTTACAAGAAAAAAGCAAACATTCCCATCAACAAGTGGGCGAAGGATATGAACAGACATTTCTCCAAAGAAGACATTTATGCAGCCAACGGACACATGAAAAAATGCTCATCATCACTGGACATCAGAGAAATGCAAATCAAAACTACAATGAGATACCATCTCACACCAGTTAGAATGGCAATCATTAAAAAGTCAGGAAACAACAGGTGCTGGAGAGGATGTGGAGAAATAGGAACACTTTTACACTGTTGGTGGGAGTGTAAACTAGTTCAACCATTGTGGAAGACAGTGTGGCGATTCCTCAGGGATCTAGAACTAGAAATTCCATTTGACCCAGCCATCCCATTACTGGGTATATACCCAAAGGATTATAAATCATGCTGCTATAAAGACACATGCACACGTATGTTTATTGCAGCACTATTCACAATAGCAAAGACTTGGAACCAACCCAAATGTCCAACAATGATAGACTGGATTAAGAAAATGTGGCACATATACACCATGGAATACTATGCAGCCATAAAAAATGATGAGTTCATGTCCTTTGTAGGGACATGGATGAAGCTGGAAACAATCATTCTCAGTAAACTATCGCAAGGACAGAAAACCAAACACTGCATGTTCTCACTCATAGGTGGGAATTGAACAATGAGAACACTTGGGCATAGGAAGGGGAACATCACACACTGGGGCCTGTTGTGGGGTGTAGGGAGGGGGGAGGGATAGCATTAAGAGAAATACCTTATGTAAATGATGAGTTACTGGGTGCAGCACACCAACATGGCACATGTATACATATGTAACAAACCTCCACGTTGTGCACGTTCCCTAGAATGTAAAGTGTAATAAAAAAAATAAAAGATAATTCTGATAGAAAAAAATAGTCATATTCTTTAAAGTGTTGTCCATGTGATATGATTTTGGGTCTCTTAAACTCAAGACTCAGTTTGTCTTTATCCCCAAACTCCAAGCATGACTCCATGTGCGTATTAATGGCTGTGTGTCTTGATCATCATAAAACCTTGGTTAGCTGTGGCTGTGGGAAGGCTGCTATTTCTGTCTTTTGTTGTGGGGAGATGCTGTTTTGACAGTGAATGGCAGACATTTCACAGTGTAATCTGACAATACTAGAAGAAAAGGCAGTAGTACTGAATGTAGAAGATGAATGTAGAAAGAATTAAAGATCCTAGGAACAAATTAGTAATAAAAAACTGTATGTGCTATTTCTAGTGCTGAGATTGAATATATATTCAGAATCGAAGGGAAAGATATCAACAGAATAGTTTGTAGCTCTTCTAGTTGTCACCAGACTCATAAATTATAACACCCATTAGAATGACTATAAATATAAAACTAATAATAATAAAATAATAATCTTGACTGAGCTAATACCCATGATGATGGCACCATAATATCTAAAGCTTTCTGAGCACAGTCCTATAATAGAACATGGTTGGTAAAGGACAAAATATTCAATTCAAATAAAGTTACCAATTTTTTTCAGATGGTAGATTATTGTATTACATTGATCTCTTTACCCTCAATTTGTTAGAGGGTTGGTTGATAATTCTGTTTACTTTTGCCTATTTCTGAACTTTAAATAAATGGAATCATACTATATAATACCTTTTGCAACTTGCTTCATTCTCTCAATATTATGTTTTGGAGATTTATTCATGTTGTGATATGTAACTCTAGCTGTTTCATTTTCACTGTTCTGTAGTATTCCATTTTATATATACAACATAATGTATTTAGCCATTTTACTACTTAAGAATATTTAGGTCATTGTAACATTTTTAGTATATGAGAGCACATTGGCTGCTATAAACGTGTACATTCTTATATATGTCTCCTGATGCACTTGTGCAAGCATTTCTCTAGATTAGTCCTTTTATTTATTCTTTTTAAAATTTTTACTTTAAGTTCTAGGATACAAGTGCAGAACATGTAGGTCTGTTACGTAGGTGTATGTGTGCCATGGTGGTTTGTTGCACCTATCAACCTGTCATCTAGGTTTTAAGCCCCACATGCATTAGTTATTTGTCCTAGTACTCTTCCTCTCCTCGCCACTCAACCCCTGACTAGCCTTGGTATGTTGTTCCCCTCTCTGTGTCCATGCGTCCTCATTGTTCAACTCCCACTTATGAGTGAGAACATGCAGTGTTTCGTTTTCTGTCACTGTGTTAGTTTGCTGAGAATAATGGCTTCCAGCTTCATTTGTGTCTTGGCAAAGGACATGATCTCATTCCTTTTTATGGCTGCATAGTATTCCATGGTGTATATGTACCATATTTTCTTTATCCAGTCTATCATTTATGGGCATTTGGGTTGGTTCCATGTCTTTGCTATTGTAAATAGTTCTGCAGTAAACACATGTGTGCATGTGTCTTTATAGTAGAATTATTTATATTCCTTTGGGTATATACCCAGTAATGGGATTGCTGGGTCAAATGGTATTTCTGGTTCTAGACCCCTGATGAATTGCCACATTGTCTTCCACAATGGTTGAATTAATTTACATTCTCACCAACAGTGTAAAAGTGTTCCTATTTCTTCACAGCCTCACCAGCATCTATTGTTTCTTGACGTTTTAGTAATCGCCATTCTGACTGTTGTGAGTTGGTATCTCATTGCGGTTTTGATTTGCATTTCTCTAATGGTCAGTGATGTTGAGCTTTTTTTCATATGTCTGTTGGCCACATAAATGTCTTCTTTTGAAAAGTGTATGTTTATATCTTTTGCCCACTTTTTGATGGGGTTGATTTTTTTTTTCTTGTAAATTTGTTGAAGTTCCTTGTAGATTCTGGATATTAGACCTTTCTCAGATGTATAGATTGCAAAAATTTTCTCCAATTCTGTAGGTTGCCTATTCACTCTGATTATAGCTTCTTTTGCTGCACAGAAGCTCTTTAATTTAATTAGATCCCATTTGTAAGTTTTAGCTTTTGTTGCAATTGCTTTTGGCATTTTCATCATAAAGTCTTTACCCATGCCTAAGTCCTGAATGGTATTGCCTAGGTTTTCTTCTAGGGTTTTTATGGTTTTGGGCTTTACATTTAAGTCTTTAATCTATCTTGAGTTAATTTTTGTATAAGGTGTAAGAAAGGAGTCCTGTTTCAGTTTTCTGCATATGGGTAGCCAGTTTTCCCAGCACCATTTATTAAATAGGGAATCCTTTCCCCATTGCTTGATTTTGTCAGGTCTGTCAAAGATCAGATGATAGTAGATGTGTGGTGTTATTTATGAGGTCTCTGTTCTGTTCCATTGGTCTGTATGTCTGTTTTGGTACCAGTACCATGCTGTTTTGGTTACCGTATCCTTGAAGTATAGTTTGAAGTCAGGTAGCATGATGACTCCAGTTCTGATCTTTTGCTTAGGATTGTCTTAGCTATACAGGCTCTTTTTTGGTTCCATATGAAATTTAAAGTAGATTTTTCTAATTCTGTGAAGAATGTCATTGGTAGTTTGATGGGAATAGCATTGAATCTATAAATTACTTTTGGCAGTATGGCCATTTTCATGATATTGATTCTTCCTATCCATGAGGATGGAATGTTTTTCCATTTATTTGTGTCCTCTCTTATTTCCTTGAGCAGTGGTTTGTAGTTCTCCTTGAAGAGGTCCATCACATCCCTTATAAGTTATATTCCTAGGTATTTTATTATTCTCTTTGTATCAATTGTAAATGGGAGTTCACTCATGATTTGGTTCTCTGCTTGCCTGCTGTTGGTGCATAGGAATGCTGGAGATTTTTGCACATTGATTTCATATCCTGAGACTTTGCTGAAGTTGCTCACCAGATTAAGGAGTTTTGGGGCTGAGATGATGAGGTTTTCTAGATATAGGATTATATCATCTGCAAAAAAAAGGTAATTTGACTTCCTGTCTTCCTATTTGAATACCTTTATTTCTTTCCCTTGCCTGATTGCTCTGGCCAGAACTTCCAATACTATGTTGAATAGGAGTGGTGAGAGAGGGCATCCTTGTGTTGTGCCAGTTTTCAAGGGCAGTGCTTCCAGCTTTTGCCCATTCAGTATGATATTGGCTATGCATTTGTTATAAATAGCTCTTATTATTTTGAGATATATTCCATCAATACCTAGTTTATTGAGAGTTTTTAACATGAAGGGATGTTGAGTTTTATTGAAGGTCTTTTCTGCATCTATTGGATAATCATTTGGTTTTTGTCATTGGTTCTGTTTATGTGTTGGATTACTTTTATTGATTTGCATATGTTGAACCAGCCTTGAATCTCATGGATAAAGCCAACTTGATCATGGTGGATAAGCTTTTTGATTTGCTGCTGAATTCAGTTTGCCAGTATTTTATTGAGGATTTTTGCATCAATGTTCATCAGGGTTATTGGCCTGAGGTTTTTTTTGTTGTTGTTGTGTTTCTGCCAGGTTTTGGTATCAGGATGATGCTGGTCTCATAAAATGAGTTAGGGAGGATTCCCTCCTTTTCAATTTTTTGGATTAGTTTCAAAAGGAATGATAGCAGCTCCTCTTTTTACCTTTGGTAGAATTTGGCTGTAAATCCTTCTGGTCATGGGCTTTTTTTTTTTTTTTTTTTTTTTTTTGATGGGTAGGCTATTAATTACTGCCTTAATTTCAGAATTTGTTTTTGGTATATTCATGGATTCAATTTCTTCTTGGTTTAGTCTTGGGAGGGTGTATGTGTGCAGGAATTTATCCATCTCTTCTAGATTTTCTAGTTTATTTCCATAGAGGTGTTTAAAAATATGGAATGCCTTATGAATTTGAGTGTCATCCTTGCACAGGGGACATGGCAATCTTCTGTATATCCTTCCAGTTATAGTATATGTGCTGCCAAAGCAAGCACTATTTATTCTTCTTATTTTAAATTTTTTGTGTTAAAAATTTCAAATGTACAGAAAACTTGCAAGACTAAATTAATCTAGATTCATAATTATTATTTTTCATGAGTCAGTTGCAAAGACATTATAGACATTATGTGTTCTCACCCCCCAATATTGGAGCATGTGTCTCCAAAAATAGAAAATGTTTTTTACATAAACACAATATAATTATCCCATTTGGGGCATTTATTATTGATACAATAGCATTATCTTATATTCCATACTCATTCAAGTTTCTCAAATTGTCTTATTGATGTCCTTTGGAGGATTTTATTTTCCTGATCCTCAGAAGAATTTTATTTTTCTGATCCTTATCCTAATGGGTGTTATAATTTATTTTCCTGTCTTATTGATCTCCTTTAGAGGATTATATTTTCCCAATACCTCTTGAGTCTCTAATCTTGAATAGTTTTACAGACTTTCTTTTACTTCAATGAAGTTGATTTTTTTGTAGAGTAGAGACAGTTTAGTCTCTATAGTATTCCTTAGTTTGACTTTGCTGACTCTTTCCTTTTGGTTAGATTCAAGCTAGCTTCTTTCTAGTTAAATTCTCTCTTTCTTGATTTTAAATTTTATTTGTGAGATATTTCTAAAAAAGAAGCCTCATCATGCCTTCTTGAATTATATACAACCTAACATCTTCTGTAGATGTCTAATTAAATTGAATTAATTAAACAAGAGTAAATAGTTCTAGATTGTATCATAATCATTCCTATTAATATACTAGCTTTGAACAATAAAGAGGAGCAAAATGATTTTTTAGATTTTTTATTTGTATTTTTAAATCACAGATAAATCAGTTTTACATATTTATGGTGCGATGTAATGTTTTGATACATGTATACACTGCATAATATCAACTCTGAGTATCTATCATGTTCATCACTTTATACCTTTTCATATCTTTGTGGTGAGCACATTTAAAATTCTCTCTTTTAGCTATTTTGAAATATTCAATAAACTATTGTTAACCATAGTCACTCTACTGTGCAACAGTACACCAGAACTTATTCCTCCTAACTGTAACTTTGTACCTGTTGACCAATCTCTCCCTATCTCACCCACCACTATCCCCTGACACACACTCCCCAGCCTCTGGGAATCACTAATCTACTCTCTACTCCTATGAGATAAACTTCTTTCGATTCTACATATGAGTGATATCATGTGGTATTTGTCTTTCTGTATCTGACTTATTTCACATAACATTATGTCTTCCAGTTCATCCATGTTGTTACAGATGACAAGATTTCATCCTTTTTTGCAGAAGAATATTTCATTGTGCATACGTAATACATTTTCTTTCCAGTAATTCATCGATGGACACTTAGGTTGGTTGCATACCTTGGGTATTGTGAATAGTGCTGCAACAAACATGGGAGTTCAAATATACTGACACTGATTTTATTTCCTTTTGATATATACTCTATAGTAGGATTGCCGAATCATATGGTAGTTCTAGTTTTAATTTTTTTAAGGAACTTCCATACTGTTTTCCATAACAACTGTATTAATTTATATTCCCATCGACAATATATAAGTGTTCCCTTTTGTCCAGCATTTGCAATTTTTGTCTTTGATAATAGCCATTCTAATTGGGGTGAAGTAATATCTCACTTTGTAGCTTTGATTTTCATTTCATGATGATTAGTGATGCTGAGCAATTTGTCTCTACTTTTTGACCATATGTATGTCTTCTTTTGAGAAATGCCTATTCAGATATTTTGCCCATTTTTAAAACAAATTATTTGTTTTCTTTTTCTGTTTTGGGTTATTTGAGCTTCTTCTATATTGTGGATATATAGGTTGTGTTGTGAGATGCAATTTGCAAATATTTTCTCCCATTCTATAGGTGGTCTCTTTACTCTATTGATTGTTTACTTTGCCAAGCGGTAGCTTTTAAATTTGATGTAATCCCATTTGTCTATTTATGCTTTTATTGTCTATGGCTTTGAGGCGTTGTCCAAAAAATCCTCGCCCAGACCACTACCATAAAGAGTGTCCTAGGGCCGGGCGCAGTGGCTCATGCCTGTAATCCCAGCACTTTGGGAGGCCGAGGCGGGCAGATCACAAGGTCAGGAGATCGAGACCATCCTGGCTAACGCAGTGAAACCCCGTTTCTACTAATAATACAAAAAATTAGCTGGGTGTGGTGGCAGGCGCCTGTAGTCCCAGCTACTCGGGATGCTGAGGCAGGAGAATGGCATGAACCCAGAAGGCGGAGCTTGCAGTGAGCGGAGATTACGCCGCTGCACTCCAGCCTGGGCGACAGGGTGAGACTCTGTTTCAAAAAAAAAAAAAAAAAAAAAAAAAGAGTGTCCTTCATGCTTTCTTTTAGTAGTTTTATCATTTCAACTCTTACATTTACATTTTTCATTCATTTTGAAGAAAAGAGTTTTAATGACTCACAGCTGCACAGGCTTAACAGGAAGCATGAATGAGAGGCCTCAGGAAACTTACAAACATGGTGGAAGGTGAAGGGGAAGCAAGCACCTGTTTCTACTGGCAGCAGGGGAAAGAGAGAGTGAGGAGGGAAGTGCCACGCACTTTTTAAACCATCAGAACTGGTGAGAACTCACTTGCTATCACAAGAGCAGCATGGAGAAATGTGTACCCATGATCCAATCACCTCCCACCAGGTTCCTCTCCCCAAATTGGGAATTACAATATGAGATTTGGATGGGGACACAGGGCCAAACCATATCATTTCTGCCCCTGGCCCCTCCCAGATCTCATGTCCTCACATTTCAAAACACAATCATGCCTTCCCAATAGTCCCCCAAATTCTTAACTCACTCCAGCATTAACCCAAAAGTCCAAGCTCAAAGTATTATCTGAGACAAGGCAAGTCCCTTCTGCCTATGAGCCTCTAAAATAAAAAACAAGTTAGTTACTTCCAAGGTATGATGGGGATACAGACATTGGGTAAATGCTCCCATTCTAATGAGATAAGTTGGACAAAACAAAGGGGCTACAGGCCGCATGCAAGTCTGAAACCCAGCAGGGCAATCATTAAATCTTAAAGCTCCAAAATAATCTCCTTTGACTCTGTGTCTCACATTCAGGATTTGCTGATGCAAGGGGTGGTCTCCCAAGGCCTTGAGCTGCCCCTGTGGCTCTGCAGGGTACAACCACTTAGGCTGCTTTCACAGGCTGGCATTTAATGTCTGCTGCATTTCCAGGAGCACAGTGCAGGCTGTCGGTGTATCCATCATTCTGGGATCTGAAAGACAGTGGCAGTCTTCTCACAGCTCCCCTAGGCAGTGCCCCAGTGGAGTCTCTGTGTGGGGGCTTCAACTCAACATTTTCCCTCTGCACTGCCCTAGTGGAGGTTCTCTCTGAGGGCTCTGCCCCTGCAGCAGACTTCTGCCTGGACATTCAGGCATTTCCATACATCCTCTGAAATCTAGGTGGAGGTTTCCAAACCTCAACTCTTGCCTTCTGTGTACCTGCAGGCCCAACATCAGGAGAAAGTTGCCAAGGCTTGGAGCTTGCACCCTCTGATGCCATGGTCTGAGCTGTACCTTGGCCCCTTTTAGCTATGGCTGGAGCTAGAGAAGCTGAGACATGGGTTGCCATGTCCTGAGGTTGCACAGAACAGCTGGACCATGGGACTGGCCCAGAAAACCATTTTCCCTCCTATGTCTCTGAGCCTGTGATGGGAGGAGCTGCTGTGAAGTTCTCTGAAATGCCCTGGAGACATTTTCCCCGTTATTTTGGCTATGAACCTTTGGCTCCTCTTATGCAAATTTCTGGAGCCAGCTTGAATTTCTCTCCAGAAAATGGATTTTACTTTTTTTCTACCACATGGTCAGGCTGCAAATTTTCCAAACTTTAATGCTCTGCTTCCCTTTTAAATATAAGTTCCAATTTCAGACCATCTCTTTTTTATGCAAATGAGCATAGGCTTTTAGGAGTAGCCAGGCCACATCTTCAATGCTTTGCTTCTTAGAAATTTCTTCTTCCAGAGACCCTAAATCATCTCTTAAGTTCAAATTTCCACAGATCCCTAGAGCAGGGACTCAATGCTGCCAGTCTCTTTGCTAAAGCATAGCAAGAGTGACCTTTGCTCTAGTTCCCAATAAGTTCCTCATCTCCATCCAAGACCACCTCAGCCTGGACTTCATTGTTCATATCACTATCAACATATGATCACAACCATCCAACAAGTCTCTATGAAGTTCCAAACATTCCCACATCTTCCTGTCTTCTTCTGAGCCCTCCAAACTGTTCCAACCTCTGCCCATTACTCAGGTCCAAAGTCAATTCCACATTTTCAGCTGTCTTTGTAACAATGCCCCACTTCCTGGAACCAAATTTCTATATTAAATCCATTCTTACACTGCTATAAAGAACTACCTGAAACTGGGTAATTTATGAAGAAAAGAGGTTTAATTGACTCACAGTTCTACAGGCCTAACAGGAAGCATGACTGGGAGGCCTCAGGAAACTTAAAATCATGGAGGAAGATGAAGGGGAAGAAAGCACCTTCTAGTGGTGGCAGGAGAAAGAGAATGAGGGCGGAAGTGCCACACACTCTTTAAACCATCAGATTTCATGAGAACTCACTCACTATCATGAAAACAGCATGAGGTAGGTTCACCCCCATGATCCAGTCACCTTCCACCAGGTCTTCCCCTAACACTGGGAATTACAATTCAACGTGAGATTTGGGTGGGGACACAGAACCAAACCATATCAGAGAAAAATGTGTGTTTTGTAGTTTTGGATGCAGTGTTCTGTAAATGACTGTTAGGTCCCTTTGGTATAGAGAGCAATTTCAATCCAGTATTTCTTTGCTGATTTTCTCTCTGGGTGATCTGTCCATTGCTGGAAGTGGGTTTTGAAGTTCCCTACTGTTATTATATCATGGTCTATCTCTCCATGTAGATCTACAAATGTTTGCTTTATATATTTTGGTACTTCAATGTTGAGTGCATGTATATTTAAAATTTGTTATATTCTCTTACTGAATTGACTCCTTTGTCATTATATAATGACTTATTGTCTCCTTATAGTTTTTGACTTAAAGTCTATATGTATGGTATAAGTATAGCTACCCCAAATCTTTTGGTTTTCATTTGCATGAAATATCTTCCTCTCTCACTTTATTTTCAGTCTATGTATATTCTTAGATGTGAAGTGAGTCTCTTGTAGGTGGCATATAGTTGGGTCTTGTTGTTTTAATCCATTCACCCACTTCATGTCTTTTAATTCGAAAATTTATTTACATTCGAGGTAATTTTTGCTGGGTAAGGACTTTCTAGTGCCATTTTTTTCATTGTTTTCTAGTTGTTTTGCAGCTCTTCTCTTCCTTTCTCCCCGCTTACTGCCTTCCTTTGTAATTAAGTGAGTTTTCTTTAGTACTATGTTTTGATTCCTTGTTTTTTTTATTTTTAGTGCACCAATTATAGGTTTTTGCTTTGTGATTATCATATGGCTTATAAAAAACAACTTATAGTTTTAACAGGTTATTTTAAACTAATAACAAATTAACTTTGATTGCAACAAAGAAAAAGAGGAAAAATAGTTCTACTTTTTGCCTCCCAACCAAACATTTTGAATTCCTGATGTCACAATTCACATCTTTTTATACTGCATTTTCCTTAAATTATTCTAGTTATTATTGTTTTTAATTGTTTTGTTTTTTAATGTCATCCTAAAGATATAAGTGATTTACACACCACCATTACATTATTACAGTATTCAGAATTTGACTGCTTACTCACTTTAACCAGTGAGTTACATACTTTCAGATGTTTTCATTTTTCTTGTTACCATCCTTTTCTTTCAACTTGAAGAATTCTCTTTGGTATTTCTTATAAGACATGTCTAGTGGTGATAAATGCCTTCAGCTTTTGTTAAGCTGGAAAAAATATTTACCTCTCCTTCATTTCTAAAGGAGTTTTTCTGGACACAGTAATTTTGGTTGGAAGTTTCTTCCCCTTCAACACTTTGAATATATTATCCCACTGTCTCCTTGCCTGTAAGGTTTCTGCTGATAATTTTGCTGTTAGACATATTGTGATTCCCTTCTTTTCTCTTGCTACCTTCAAGAGCCTCTCTTTGCCTTGATCTCTGGCAATTTGATTATCATATGTTTTTTCTTATTTGTGTCTTACTTGAATTGAATCTGATTGTAGGTCTTTGGCCTTCCTGTACCTGAATATTTATATGTTTTTCTACGTCTAGAAAGTTGTCTGTTATTATTTCTTTAAATGAACTTTCTTTACCTTTCTTTTTATCTTTTTTCTTTTGAACTCCAATGACCTATGTGTTTGCTCTTTTGATGTTGTCCTATAATTCCTGTAAGCTTTCTTCATTCCTTTATATTACATCCTTTTTCTCTCCTTTAGTGTATATTTTCGATTAGTCTGTCTTCCAGTTCACAGATTATTTCCTCTGCTTGGCCAATTCTGCTACTATGTTCTCCATTGCATTTTTTCATTTTGTTTCTTATATTTTTAACTTCCAGCATTTGTGTTTTAAAAAAATATTATTTCAATATATCTGTTAAATTTCTCTGATAAATTTTTGTATTGCTTATCTGAATTTTCTTGAAGTTTGCTGAGCTTCATTGAAACAGCTATTTTGAACTCTTTATCAGGCATTTCTTCCAAGTCCACCTCTTTTTTTAACTTTTATTTTTGTTTCCAGGATACATGTGCAGGTTGGTTCTATAGATAACATTGTGTGTCGTGGGAGTTTGGTGTACAGATTATTTCATCATCCAGATAATAAGTATGGTATCTAATAGGTAGTTTTTCAATCATCATGCTCCTCCCACCCTCCACCCTTTAATAGGCCCTGGAGTCTTTTGTTTCCTTTCTTTGTATTTAGTATACTCAGTGTTTAGCTCCCACTTATACATGAGAACATGGAGTGTTTGGTTTTCTGTTTCTGCATTACTTTGTAGAAACATTGCTTAGGATAATGGCCTCCATCTCCATCCATGTTCCTGCAAAAGACATGATTTCTTATGGCTGCATAGTATTCCATGATGCATATGTACCACGTTTTCTTTATCCAGTCAACCACTGATGGGCATTTAGGTTGAGTTCCTATCATTGCTATTGTGAATAGTGCTGCGATGAACATATGCATGCGTTTGTCTTTATAGTAGAATTATTTATATTCCTTTGGTTATATACCCAAAAATGGAATTGCCAGGTCAAATGGTAGCTGTGTTTTAAGTTCTTTGAGAAATCACCAAACTGCTTTCCACAGTGACTGAACTAATTTACATTCTCACCAGCAGTGTATATGAATTCCCTTTTCTCCACAGCCTTGCCAGCACCTGTTATTTATTTATTTATTTATTTATTTATTTATTTATTTTTTATTTATTTTTTATTTATTTTTTACTTTTTACTAATAGCCATGCTGATTGGTGTGAGATGTTATCTCATTGTGGTTTTGGTTCTCATTTCTCTAATGATTAGTGATTTGAGTGTTTTTTCATGCTTATTGGCCACATGTGTGTCTTAATTTGAGAAATGTCTGTTCATGTCATTTGCTTACTTTTTATGATGAGGTTGTTTGGTTTTTGCTTGTTGACTTATTTACATGCCTTACAGATTCTGTATATAAGACCACTGTCAGATGCATAGTTTGCAAATATTTTTCTCCCATTCTGTAGGTTGTCTATTTACTCTGTTGATAGTTTCTTTTGCTGTGCAGAAATCCTTTAGTTTAATTAGGTCCCATTTGTCAATTTTTGTTTTTGTCACAATTGCTTTTGGTGTCTTTGTCATAAAATTTTTGCCAGGGCCTATGTCTAGGATGATGTTTCCTAGATTTTCTTCAAGAGTTTTTGTAATTTTAGGTTTTACATTTAAGTCTTTCATGTATCTTGAGTTGATTTTTGTATATGGTATAAGGAAAGGTTCCACTTTCAATCTTCTTCATATGGCTAGCCAGGTATCCCATTACCATTTATTAAATAGTGAATCCTTTTTCCATTGCTTGTTTTTATCGACTTTGTTGAAGATCTATCACCATCTCTTTAGACTCAGTCACTGGTGCCTTATTTTGTCCATTTGGTGATGTAATACTTCCCTGTTTGATCTTGCCCCTTGTGGCTGTGCATTGTTGTCTGAGCATTGACATAGGCACCTAATTCAGTCTTCAAAGCCTGGCTTTGTTTGTAAGATTCCTTCAGAAGTAAGCCTGTTCAGAGAAACAGGGCAGGTTGACTGGTAACCCATGACCCTAAGCAATGACCACTTCAACCGTTGCAACACTAGGGGCACCTCAAGCCCAGGACCACCAGAGCTAGAATCCTTTCACTACTGAGTCTGACACAGTGCTGTGTTGCACCCAAAGCTCACAGCTCTTCAGACTAGTATAGCACTGGGATGTACCCAAGGTATGTGGCTACTGCAGCCTGCCCTCCACTGAAGTTTATTTAGGGCCAAAGTCTGCTGTAGCTGGCTGGTGGTAATGTGGGTTGTAACGAAAGTCCATTCCACTGGGGCTGCAGGCTCCTGTTTGGCACTGGGGTGGGCCTAGAGGCTCCATTTATGGGCACCAGCCTTGTATCAGGGACTGAGGGGCCCTGCCCTGTGCTGAGTTTTACTGAAGCAAGTCAGTACTGGGTTGCAAGGTGATGTTCTATGCCACCTCTTTTTCCTTCCCACAAGCACATGGTGTCTTTCTCCATGCAGTGCTACCTGGGGCTAGGAAAGGGGTGAAGTGGGCAATTCCACACCCACTGAGGCTAAGCCAATATTGAGGTGTACCTGAAGACCACAGCTGCTGAGACCAGTGCAGTACTGGGATCCACCTAAGGCTGAACCTTCTGCTGAGGTTTATTCAGAGCCTGAGGTTGCTGTTATTGGCTAGTGGTGATGTGGGCTGGAATATGAATCCATACCACTGGTGTCACAAGTTCATGTCTGGCACCAAGGCAAATCTAGAAGCTCTGTCCATGGGTATTGGTTTGGTGTCAGGGGCTGAGGGATTCCACCCAGTGTTGGGTTTTACTATTGCAGGCCTGTTATTGTGTTGCAAGCCAATGTTCTGCACTTACTTCCTCCTCCTTCCCCCAGGTAGATTGTATCTCTTTCTTTCTTTGTTTTTTTTTGTTTGTTTTGTTTTGTTTTGTTTTTGAGATGGAGTCTCGCTCTGTTGCCCAGGCTGGAGTGCAGTGGCACGATCTCGGCTCACTGCCAGCTTTCCCTCCCGGGTTCATGCCATTCTCCTTCCTCAGCCTCCCGAGTAGCTGGGACTACAGGTGCCCGCCACCACGCCTGGCTAATTTTTTGTATTTTTAGTAGAGATGGGGTTTCTCCGCATTAGCCAGGATGGTCTCGATCTCCTGACCTCGTGATCTGCCTGCCTCAGCCTCCCAAAGTGCTGGGATTACAGGCATGAGCCACCGAGCCTGGCCGATTGTATCTCTTTCTTTGCTTTGCTGCCTGGGGCTTGGGGTGGATGCCTTGGGTAATGTAAAACCACCCTTCCTGCATTCTTCAATGCATCTTTTCTTGTTATTATGCTAAAACAAGGTACTGTGATCTCTCCTCTGGTTTTCTGAGCTCCTGTGAAGGATTTTTTTGTGCATGGATAGTGTTCAAATTGATGTTTCTGTGGAGGACAATCCCTGGATGGTTTTATTCTGTCATCTTGCTCTGCCATCCATCGAGCTTTTAGATTTGAATTATAGATTTTAAGATATACTAAACAATCAAATTTTATGGGAGATCCTTGATTAAAAATTTATTCCTGCAATAAATAATGCAAAATGATGCCAACATAGTGGCCGCCTTTTAGCAGGACCAAAGAATGCACGATCATTTTCTAGTGAAGTTGCTGCTTGATCTTTTATCAAGCATTTGCCTTCCAGTACTAATAATTACCCCTGAAAGTTGGAATTTACTTATATTTCCTATTCTGAACTTGAATCATATTTCAGGGAGTTTCATTTTTATCTCGGTAGATAAACTATTCACTGATTTTTTTTTTTTTGAGACATAGTCTCGCTCTGTCACCCAGGCTGGAGTGCAGTGGCATGATCTCGGCTCACTGCAACCTCTGCCTCCTGGGTTCAAGTGATTCTCATGCCTCAGCCTCCCAAGCAGCTGGGATTACAGACATGCACCACCATGCCTGACTAGTTTTTGTGCTTTTGGTATAAATGGGTTTTTGCCATGTAGGCCTGGCTGGTCTCAAACTCCTGGGGTCAAGTGATCCACCCACCTTGGCCTCCCAAAGTGCTGGGATTAGAGGTGTGAGCCACAGTGCCCAGACTATTCACTACATTTTAATTCAACAGATATTTATTGAGTACCTACTATGTGGCAGACATTATGTTAGGTGCTAAGGACAAAAATCATAAATATTTGGCATCTTTTCCCTTCAGTAGGTAATTGCTCAATAGGGAATTAGGATGTCTATATAAATAATAGTACAATGGGCTAAGTACCTGAACAGTATTATGAATGAAGTATGATAGAATCATAAGGTGGAGACAATTAACTGTTTTAGAGGAGCATCAGGGTTAACTTTTGAGCTGAATTGTTTAAGAAGAAAAGTTAAAGACTATGTTCCAGGCACAGTTCCAGGTACATGGACTTGAAGTTTTAATCTAGTGGAAGAAACAGACAGAGATGTGAGATATAATATAATGCAGTTCTAAAAGTACAAAGTGCAATGAAATATTGTGTTGTGATTAATTCACAACCAGGAGGAGTACATGTGGGGGTGTGTCTTGGTTTTTATAACTACACACAAAAGTCCTGTACAAAAATCTCCTTTTATATGGTCCAGAATATAACGTAGCTCAGTAACTTTCCTCAAAGAAAAATGATCAGAAACCAAAACTCTACTGGAATTACAGGATATTTAAAAAGTCTATCAGTTCTACTTTTTAATGTGTGGGCAACACTCAATGAATGCCTCCTTCCATTAACTTGGCATAGATATCATCAATCCTAAGAATTAGAAGGAGGATCCCACTAGGCAATTTGATTTTTAATCCACTAAAATCACAACATATTATGTTCTTATCAGCTTTGATAGACATAACTATAAGAGTTGCTTGCTTTGGAAACCATCAAAGCTCAATAATTACTCTCTGTTTACTAAATAAGTCAGATTGCTCACTTCATGCTCAATTATTTTTCTTCTCATAACTGCTCAATTATAATCTATGAATACATTTTCTATGAATCTAAAAATCTATTTTAACATGATTGTGTCTGTCCTAAAAAGAAATCTGCTTCTTAGTTAATAATGCATTATTTCTACTAGAATTTTGTAATCTAGTCAAATCTAATTATACCCAGTTGATAACTTATGTCTATCTATCTTTCCTTCTATCCATTCATCCATCCATCCATTTATCAATCCATACATTCATATCATCATTAAACTTTGGCAACTGCACATATGCCTGGAGAGCTATCCCCATGTCATACCCAACCTAGAACAACCTGACCTTCTTTTGGGGGTATTCCACACTTCTCATGGTAACTGAAAGAGGTGTCCTTCCTGGTTAATGCTAAAAACCACCCTTGTGCTCATAAACAAACCTTCCTCAGTCAGCCAGTCTTTCCATCATCAAGGCAACATGATTTAAATTAGCTTCTCCCCTTTCATATTCACCCCTGAAACTACATGCCACCATTTTTGACATTGTGTCTCCTAAATTATTTTTCTTAATGTTCATTGTAAATTTATTATACCAGAATAAAAATGCACTGGGTGGAGGCACAAGACAAGGTTTGCCTTCACTCTTCCAAGGCTCTGAGTGAACTATACACCATCAGCTATTTTTTTCTAAGCATTTACAGAACTCTTAGGGCTGGGAATACTGGAATGATCAAAGTAGTCTCTTATGGACTCCAAATTCTAATAGGGGAAGTCTAATGGTAATAGACTTATCCTCAGAGGATACTATGGGAGCAGAGAGGAAGAGAGGTTGGGACTGGGGAGGCTAATTTTTGCAGAAAGAGTAATTGGCCAGACAGAAAAGGAAAATATACAGACTATCACCATGTGAAATTCATGGTGGTGCAACACAGCACGGGGAGTTAAAACTAGTAAATATGCATGTCAGGAACATAAATTTTGAAATGCTATTCCATGTTTCTTTTTCTATGATTTCTTGCTGCTCATACCAATCCCCTATTTAAATAATTGTGAAAGTGTTTCTTATTTATCTAAATTGATGAATAAAAACTGTATGTATTTATCATGTGCAACATGTTTTCAAATAGGTATATATTGTGGAATGACTAACACAATCTAATTAACATATACATCACCTCACATACTTATCTTTTTTGTGGTAAGAACAGTAAAAATCTATTCTCTCTTTGATTTTCAAGAATACAATAAATTGTTATTAACTATAGTCACCATGTTTTACAATAGATTTCCTGACCTTATTCCTCCTATTTAACTGAAATTTTGTATCCTTTGACCAACATCACCCCAATCCCTTCACCCCCAGCCCCCAGTAACCACTATTTTTCACTCTGCTTTTATGGTTTCAACTTTTTAAGATTCCACATACAAGGGAGATTATTAGGTATTTGCCTCTCTGTGTCTGGCTTATTTCACTTAACATAGCATCCTACAGATTCATCCATGTTGCTGCAAATAAAAGGATTTTCTTCTCATTTACAGGTATATAATATTACATTCTGTATATATAGATATTTACTTTATACACTTATCTGTTGATGGATACTTAGTTTGATTCCACTTCTTGGCTCTTGTGCATAATGCTTCTGTGAACATGGGAATGTTCTCTTTGACATACTTTGATATACTTTGGATGTCCCTTCTAAATTTCATATTGAGATGTAATCCCTAGTGTTGGAGGTGGGGCCTGGTGGGAGATATTTGGGTCATGGGGGCAGATCTCTCGTGGCTTGATGTTGTCCTTGTGATACTGAGTAAGTTCTCATGAGAATTGGTTGTTCAAAAATGTATGGTGCCTCTCCCTCTCTCTTACTCCCTTTGTTGCCATGTGAGAGGTTTGCTCCCTTTTCACCTTCTGACATGATTGTAAGCTTCCTGAAGCCCTCACCAGAAGCTGAGTAGATGCCAGTGCTATGCTTCCTTTACAGCCTGCAGAATCATGGGCCAATTAAACCTCATTTCTTTACAAATTACCCAGCCTCAGGTATTTATAGCAACACAAGCATGAGCTAACACATACTTATTTCATTTATTTTGGATACATACCCCATAGTGGGATTGTTGGATCGTATGATAGTTTTATCTTTAATTTTTTGGGAACCTCCATACTCTTTTCCATAATGCCTGCATTGATTTACATTCCCACCAACAGTGTGTAATGGTTCTCTTTTCTCCATATCTTCATCAACACTTGTTATTTTTCATCTTCTTTATATAGCCATTCTAACAAATGTGAAGTGATATCTCATTGTGGTTTCAATTTGTATTTCCCTGATTATTAGTGATATTGAGTTTTTTTCATATACCTGTTGACCATTAGTATGTCTTCTTTGGAGAAGTGTGTATGCAGGTCCTTGCCCATTTTTTAATTGGGTTATTTGTTTTCTTGCTATTGTTTCAATTCTGTATTAGTTAGCATCCTAAACAGGCACAGAACTAATGGAATATATATATGTGCATATATATATATATGTATATGTGTATATGTATATATGTATATGTATATGTGTATATGTATTTGTATATATATATACATATATATACAAATATATATATACACATATACATATACATATACATATATATGTATATATATATGAAGGGGAGTTTATTAAGTATTAACTCACATGATCACAAGGTCCCATATAGGCCGTCTGCAGGCTGAGGAGCAAGGAGAGCCAGTCTGAGTTCCAAAACTGAAGAACTTGGAGTCCAATGTTTGAGGGCAGGAAGCGTCCAGCACAGGAGAAAGATGTAGGCTGGGAGGCTAGGCCCATCTCTCTCTTCACGTTTTTCTGCCTGCTTTTTATTCCAGCCACACTGGTGGCTGATTAGATTGTGCTCACCCAGATTAAGGATGGGCCTACCTTTCCCAGCCCACTGACTCAAATGTTAACCTCCTTTGGCAACACCCTCACAGACACACCCAGGACCAACACTTTGTATCCTTCAATCCAATCAAGTTGACACTCAGTATTAACCATCACAAGTTCCTTATATATTTGGGATATTAAGCCTTACCAGATGCATGATTTGCAATACTTTTCTCAGCCTGTAAGTTGTCACTTCACTTTGTTGATTGTTTCTTTTGCTGTCCAGAAACATTTTAATTTGACATGATCCCATTTGTCTACTTTCACTTTTGTTGCCTGTGCTTTTGGGGTCATATTCAAAAAAAAATTATTACCCAGACCAATGACATGAAGCTTTCCCCTATGTTTTCTACTAGTAATTTAACAGTTTCTGTTTTGATGTTTAAATATTTAATCTGAACAACCTGGGTAACATAGTGAGACCCTATCTCTACAATATAATAAAAAAAAATTAGCCAGTGTGGTGGCATGCACCTGTAGTCCCAGCTACTTAAGAGGCTGAGGTGAAATAATCACTTAGAGTCCAGGAGTTTAAGACTATAGTGAGCTATGATTGCCCTACAACACTCCAGCCTTAGTGACAGAGTGTCTTAAAAAATATTAATAAATAAATAAAATTAAAAAACAAATCTTGAATCCATTTTCAGTGGATTTTTGTATACAGTGTAAGATAATGGTCTAATTTCATTCTTCTAAACGTGGAAATGCAGTTTTTCCAGTACCCTCTTTATTGAAGAGACTGTTATTTCCCCACTGTGTGTTCTTGGCACCTTCGTAAAAAATCAATTGACCTTAAATGTATGGAATTATTTCTTGGATTTCTATTCTATTCTGTTTATCTATGTGTGTGTGTGTGTTTATATTAGTACCATGCTGTTTTGATTAATATAGATTTGCAGCATGTTTTGACATCTGGTATTATGATGCCTCCAGCTTTGTTAATTTTTATCAAGATTGCTATTTGAGGTCTTTTGTGGCTGCACACAAATTTTAGGATGGATTTGTTTTTTCTATTTCTGTGAAAAATGCCATTGGAATTGATAGGGATTGCATTTTAATCTGTACATAGCTTTCGGTGATATGGGCATTTTAACAATGTTAATTTTTCCAACCCATTAATACAAATGTCTTTCCATTTATTTGTATCTTCTTCGATTTATTTTATCAATATTTTATAGCTTTCAGTGTACAAGTTTTTTGTTACCTCCTTTGTTAAATTTAATACTAAGTATTTTATTTTATTTTTAGCTACTTTAAATGGGCTTGTTTTCTCAATTTTTAATGGATAGTTTGTTGTTGGTTAATAAAAATACCACTAATTTTTGTATGTTAATTTTGTATCCTAAAAAATTATACATTATGATTTCATATCCCACAAAATCATACATTCCATCTTTAATGAATTCACTTATTCTAACTGTTTTTTTTGTAGAGTCTTTAGCATTTTCTATTTATATAGTCATGTTGTTGTGAACAGGGACAATTTAACTTCTTTCTTTCCAATTTGAATGCCTTTTTATAATCTTTCACTTCTCTAATTGTTCTAGTTAGGGCTTCCAGTATTATGTTGAATAGAAGTAGTGAGAGTGTGCATCATTGTACTGCTTCCTGATATCAGAGGAAAAACTTCAAGTTTTCGTCATTAAATATGATGTTAACTTTGGATTTGTTATGTATGGCCTTTATTGTGTTGAGGTTCATTCCTTCCATACCTAATTTGTTGAGAGCTGTTATTATAAGAGAATGTTGAATTTTGTCAAATGTTTTTTCTGCCCCTATTAAAATAATCATGGGCTTTGTCCTTTATTCTGTTAATGTGGTGTATCATATTTATAGATTCGTGTGTGTTGAACCATCCTTACATCCATGGGTTAAATTTCACTTGACCATTGTGAATGATCCTTTTAATGTACTGTTTAATTTGGTTTGCTAGTATTTTGTTGAGGATTTTTGCATCTATTGTCATCAGAGAAATTGGCATGTAACTTTCTTTTCTTGTAGTATCCTTATCTGGCTTTGGTATCAGGGTAGTGCTGGCCCCATAAACTGAGTTTGGAAATATTCCCTCTTCTTCAATGTTTTGGAAGAGTTTGAGAAGGATTAGTATTATTTCTTCAATTAATGGTTATGTTTGCTCTTCTTATATTAATTCTTGAATTAGGGTTGGTTATGTTTAGGAAAATTCAGCAGTGAAGACATCAGGTACTGTGCTTTTCTTTGATAGTCTTTTGGTTACTGATTCAACTTGTTACTCATTAATGATCTGTTCAGATTTTCTATTTCTTCATGGTTCAATTTTGGTAGATTGCATTTGTCTAGGAATTTATCAATTTCTTCTAGCTTATTCAATTTGTTGGTGTATACTAGTCTTTTACTGTCCTTTGTTGTTCTGTGGCATTAGTTGTAATATCTCCTCTTTCATTTCTGATTTTTTTTAGCCTTCTCTTATTTCTTAGTTGGTCTAGCTAAAGTTTTGTCAATTTTGTTTATCCATCCATAAAACCAACTCTTAGCTTTGTTGATCCTTTGTATTGCTTTTGTAATCTCTATTTTATCTGTTTTTGCTCTGGTATTTATTATTTCCTTCCTTCTATTAACTTTGGGATTAGTTTGTTCTTCTTTTCCAGGTTCGTTGGGGTATAACATTGGGTTGTTTATTTGAGATCTTTCTTCCTTTCTGATGTAGGTGTTTACTGGTATACACTTTTCTCTTAGGCTGCTTGCCTGCAGACTTAACACCACATGGACATTGCCAAGATCTATGGCCTGTACCTCCAGGAGTAGCAGACAGCATGGCACCTGAATCCACGTTAGCTGGGGAAGATAAGGAATACTGTGCTGGAACGCAGGGAGCAGAAACCTGAGGCAACTCTGGGCTATGAGCCCATGGAGGGCACCCCAGGCCTGTGTCTCAAAACAATCCATTCTGCTCTCCTAAAGCTCTGAGTCTGTAATGAGAGGGGCATTCTAAAAGATCTCTGAAATGCCTTCAAGGTATGATATAGTTTGGATATTTGTATCTTCCAAATATCATGTTGAAATGTGTTGAAACACCTCCCATAAGGCCCCACCTCCAACACTGGAAGCCCCAGGAGGTGGGGCTTTATGGGAGGTGTTACAGTCATGGGAGTGGATCATTCATGAATGGCTTGGTGCTGTCCTTGCAGTAATGAGTGAGTTCTCACTCTAAGTTATCACAAGATATGATTGTTAAAAATAACCTGGCCCTTCCTCCCCTCTGTCTTGCTCCCTCTCTCACCATGTGACATGCCTGCTCACCTTTCAACTTCTGCCCTGATTGTAAGCTTCCTGGGGCCCTCACCAAAAGCAGAAGCCAGTATTAGCCAGCATTGTACTTTTTGTGCAGCCTGCAGAACCATGAACCAAAATAAATCTTTTTTCTTTATAAATGACACAGCGTCAATAATTTCTTTGTAGCAAAGCAAAATGGAGTAACACAGGGTGTTCCTTACATTGTCTTGATGCACATGGCTTCCTTCCATCCATAGTAATCTCTTTAGCAAAAGGTCACTTGGCCATGCCGTTAGTATCCTCACGTAAACATACTTTTTCACTCTTTACGTGGCCAGGCTGTGAATTTTCCAAATCTTTCCACTCCGCTTCTCCATTAATTATCAATTATGTCTTTAAAATTATCCCCTTCCTCTTGCATCTAAATATAAGTGGCCAAAAGCAGACATGCAGCAGCTTTAATGCTTTGCTGCTTAGATATGTCTTATGCTCAATATCCTATTTCATTGCCCTTACATTCTGGCTTCCATAAATCCCTAGAGCATGGACACAATGCAGCCAAGTTCTTTGCAACTGTATAACAAAGATGGCCTTTCCTCCGGTTTCCAATACCTTGTTTCTCATTTACATCTAAGATCTCATCAGAATGGCCTTTACTGTCCATATTTCTACCAGCATTCTGGTCACAATCACTTAAATAACCTGTAAGAGGATTTAGACTTACCTTATTTCTGGAGTCTTCTTCTGAGCCCTCATCAGAATTGCCCTTAATGTTTCTTTTATGACATACAGGCTTTTTCTAGCCTGCTCCTCCAAATTCTTCCAGCATCTATCTATTACCCAGTTTCAAAGCCTCTTCCACATTTTCAAGTATTTATCATAACAGTACACTTACTTCTTAGTACCAATTATCAGTCTTAGTCCATTTTGTGTTGCTATTACAGGATACCACAAACTGGATAGTTTATTAAAAATAAGTGTATTTCTTACATTTCTGGAGGCTGGGAAGTACAAGAGCTGGCATTAGCATCTGGGGAGGGACTTTGGGCTTCATTATTCCATTGCAAAGGTGGAAGGACAAGTGTGTACATGTGAAAGATAAAGCACAAGGGGCTGGGCTCATTTTCATAATAACTCACTCTAACAATAACTGACCTACTGTTGTTATAACTACGTTAATCCATTAGTGACAGCAGAACCCTCATGACCCAGTCACCATTCATTAGGCCCCACCTCCTAAAACTGTTGCATTGGGGATTAAGTTTTCAAATGTGTGAATTTTGAGAGACACATTCCAACCATAGCAGGGTGTTTCTAACAGATGCTATTAGAATGGAATTTGCAGATATGCCTTGGAATTTGTGCCACAATTCCCACTCCCCTTCTTTTCTTCTCTACCCTCCTCATGGGCAGCTGTTAACCAATTACTGATGAGATGAGAGGATAGGTATTCAAACTCCCTTGCCCCTTCAGGGGAAAAACTCAAAAGAGTGACCTCCATTGTCTACAGGGTTATATCCACGGATAGAGCCAAAGTTATCCTCTGCAGGACTTAGTTTGATATTACATCTCTCTTTGACTTTCTTTCCTTCTCTATTCTATCTCCTTACTTCTCTATAGGTTTTTGGGGAAAAACATGTCCTAATAAATCACTTTCATACAAACCCTTATCTCATGGTCTGTTTCTAGAAACCCAAAATGAGAGAATATTCTATACTTATTGCTCTCAGGGAACAGTTGCTTTTAAAGAAATACAAAGAAGTAAATAAAGGACTCAATGCTCAGCTTTTCAGGCTCAATACAGCCTAAACCCTTGGAATAGTTTAAAGAAAAAAAATTGAGTTGTAAGAATAGTATCAAGAGTCAGTTCCCTAAAGAATTCAGGACACAATTTTTATGGCTTAAATAAAAGACATAGAAGCACATGAAATCAGTCAGGTCAGGTTTTCCCACCTTCTTAAATTAAGTAGCATTCTCACAGGCTAGCATGAAGGAGAGGAGGGTGAGGAGATGCAAATACTGGAGTTGGAACTTGATGTGTGTCTCTGGGAATGAGTCCACAAGCCCTCACCTTTAAGGATAGGTCCTCAAGCTTCCATTTAGAGCCTCCCTCTGAAAGGAGTGCAGAGGGAGCTGAGAGAAAGTAGATGACTTGTGGGGTCCTGTGATCGTGGGAAGGAGGGCACAGATTGTCCTTCATGTACTTGAAAATTGGGGACCAGGGGGAAATGTGGATAACTTAGGATCATCTAGCAGAGCTAAGAAATAAAAACAGTAGATAAGTGGAGCCTTAAATGTCTCAATCGATGCCAGTTTAGATAGATTATGACACCTGAATACCAGATACTACTTTCCTATCGACACAGTACATCATGGCTTTTCTCCTGGAGTGTAGTAGAAAATTCTGGTGTCCATACCACATCCATTTTGACCACTCTCAAATATTAGCTGCAGCTATGGTGGACAGTTCTTGTGCATCCTATTGACAAATTATCCCAAGCATGCACTCAAATTTTACACTTTACTATCTTAGGATTTTTCTGAAGGTATGAGAGCTTGCTCAACTTGCCTACAGGATAGTCTAGAAGTACAGGGCAGTTAGTGCCCCCAGGAGAAATTCTCAACCGATGAGTAGAAGTTGAAGGACAACTGCTCCAACATCCTGTTTTTCAGAGATAATTATGAATTGCACTCTATCCAGTTCTCAAGAGGCCCTAGTGGGGTACAGCCCCACTTGGCCACCACTCAGTAACAGACTCTACTGTCTTTTCCTTCTTCCATGTCTCTGTTTTTGTTCTCTCAATCCTGTTTCCAAAGATTATATTGCAAATAAACTACCAGAACCCAACTCCTCATCTCAGGTGCTGCTTTTAGGGTAACCCAATTTAAGATGTGTGGAAAGGAAGAAAGGGAAGAACTCTCATTTGACTGAAAAAATTCTGAACTTAGTGACTTGCCTTAAATAAACCAAACCTAACTTTTGCTGTTGGTAGGGTAAGGGTTCCATATAGCAATTTAGTTCAGTTATAGAGAAATAAAAATTATGTTTTTTCCTACCTCAATTTACAATCTGTGAATGGCTTACCTAATATACATGCTAGTTATGATTCCTGACCATTCCATTATCTCTTTTTGTGGGTATTCACGCTCTTTAAACCTCCATGCTGAGAGAAGTCATCTTGGCAAAAGTAACCACTTAATGGACTGGAAATTGGCACTTGGCACAGGGGCCATCAGTTCTGATGGACTGGCTGGTAATATATGAGAAGATTTGTGGCCAAAAACTATGCCTAGAAGAGCAATGACAGTTAACTAGGTCAATCATAGGCTCTACCTTTGGCATCTGAGCAGAAATAATGGGCAGGTATCTTGGAAAGTATCAGACAATTGATAGTGGACAGATAAATACAAGGTATAAAAAGAAAATAAGGGAGTAAAAGAATAGTGGTGGAATACTACTGCAAAGCCCATAGAATCTTACTGCATAAGGGTTGACCAAAGGGTTTGATGGCTTAGGCACTGAATGGCAGCTACTTCTGGTTTTGTGTGAGATTCTTTTTTTCTACATTATTTTATAAAGTTTTTACAACTTCTGACTACCTTAGATGGCTAGAATAAGTCTCTGTTTCCTGTAATCTTAAGAGTCAACCAAACCCATGTCCAAGTAACTGCAAGTAGTTCATTAAGGGGTTGAAGTAAGTAAGAAATAGGAGAGAAGACTGGATATCTAGCAGGATTAAAATACCTATCTTGCAGGTAATAGGGAGACACTGATGAATTTTAAACAAAGAAATGACCTCTCCTTCCAAAAGGTGAATTAAATGCTTGAAAGTTGGCAAGACTGGAAGTGGAATGAGTTTAGAGGATTTTTCCCCTATAATTAGGTCAGGAAACAAAGGAAGGCCTGAGGCCAAAATTATGGCAAGTTTGACTGGTAAATGATGACACAGTTTTAGATGAGTCTCAGTGAGATGTCTAGAGGCTGTTGGATTTATGGGTCTGAAACAGAAGAGAAATATCTAGGCTTGTGAAACAGACAAGGGAGCCATTAGTATTGGTGGAAGTCATGGGTGAAGGTAAGACCTTCCCCAAAGATTATCCCTAGTGAAAGGAGAAGATGATTGAGTGTGAATTCCTGGGAACTGGAAAACCTAAAGGAGAGGGAAAAGAAGGAAGCACTTGTAAAAGAGATTGAAAAGTTGCCAGATAAGTAGAAAAAATTCAAGAGGTGATCTCTCTGTCAATTCTATCAATCTGTTGACTGAATGTCTCCCACAAATCCTCAGAAAATGAGGGGTCAGGGATAGCATTAGGAGATATATCTAATGTTAAATGACGAGTTAATGGGTGCAGCACACCATTATGGCACATGTATACATATGTAACAAACCTGCACATTGTGCACATGTGCCCTAAAACTTAACGTATAATAATAAAAAAAAGAAAATGATCTTTGTTTTTGTTTCTCTTTACATTTTATTTTGTCTTTATAAATTTATGAGATATAAGTGTAATTTTGTTACTTGGATGTATTGCATAGTGTTGAAGTCAGGGTTTTTAGTGTATTTATCACCAGAATAATGTATATTGTACTCATTAAGTAACTTATCATCCACCCCCTGCCCCATTCCCACTCTTCTGAGTATTGTCTATCATTCCATACTGTGTCCATGTGTACATATTATTTCATTCCCTCTTATACATGAGAACATGCAATAGTTGTCTTTCTGTATCTGAGTTGTTTCACTTAAGATAATGGCCTCCAGTTCCATCCGTGTTGCTGCAAAAGACATGATTTCATTTTCTTATGGCTGAATAGTATTTTCTTGGAGATATATATATATATATATATATATATATATATATATATATATGTCACATTTTATTTATCCAATTATACATTGATGAACATTTAGGTTGATTCCATATCTTTGCTATTGTGCATAGTGCTATGATAAACATACAAGTGCAGGTATCTTTTTGATGTAATTACTTATTTTCCTTTGAGTAGATATCTAGTAATAGGATTCCTGGTGCAAAGAGTAGTTCTATTTCTAGTTCTTTGAGAAATCTCCATATTGCTTTCCATAGAGGTTGTAATAATGTATAAGTGTATATATGTTCACTTTTCCCACATCCATACCAACATCTATTTGTTTTTTGTCTTTTTAATAATAGCCATCCTGGCCGGGCATGGTGGCTCACATCTGTAATCCCGGCACTTTGGGAGGCCAAGGTGGGTGGATCACTTGAGGTCAGGAGTTCGAGACCAGCCTGGTCAGCATGGTGAAACCCCATCTCTACTAAAAATACAAAAATTAGCTGGTCATGGTGACGCATGCCTGTAGTCCCAGCTACCTGGGAGGCTGAGGCAGGAGAATGGCTTGAACCCAGGAGGCGGAGGTTGCAGTGAGCCAAGATCATACCATTGCACTCCAGCCTGGGGGACAGAGTGAGACTCTGTCTCAAAAATAATAATAATAATAATAGCCATCCTGACTGGTGTAAGATGATATCTCATTATGGTTTTAATTTGCATTTCTCTGATAGTGAGCAGTTTTCATATGCTTGTTGGCCATTTATTTGTATGTTTTCTTTTGAAAAATATCTACTCATGTTCTTTGCCCATTTTTAATGGGGTTATTTGTTTCATTTTTGTTGTTGCTAAGTTATTTGAGTTCCTTGTAAATTCTGGATATTAGTCCCCTGTCAGATATCTAGTGCAATTTTCTCCAATTCTGCAGGTTGTCTGTTCACTCTGTTGATGAGTTTTTTCCTGTACGGATGCTTTTTAGTTTAATTAAGTCCCATTTGTCTATTTTTTTTGTTTCTGTTGTCTGTGCTTTTGAGATCTTAGTCATAAATTCTTTGCCTAGACCAATGTTTAGAAGAGTTTTTCCTAGGTTTTCTTTTAGTATTTTTATAGTTTCAAGTCTTATACTTAAGTATTTAGTCCATCTTGAGTTGATTTTTGCATATGGTGAGAGACAGGGGTCTAGTTTCATTCTTTTGCATATGGCAACCCAATTTTCCCAGCACCATTTATTGAAAAGGGGGTCCTTTCTCCAGTGTATGCTCTTGTTGACTTTGCCAAAGATCAGTTGGCTGTAGATATGTGCTTTTATTTCTGGCTTCTCTATTTTGTTCCATTGATCTATGTGTCTATTTTTATAACAGCATCATGCTGCTTTGGTTACTAAGATTGTAGTATAAGTTGGAGTCAGGTATTGTGATGTCTCCAGCTTTGTTCTTTCAGCTTGGGATTCCTTTGGCTATTTAAGTTTTTTATATTTCATATGAATGTTAGGATTATTTTTTCTAATTCTAATTTTGTGAAAAATAACATTGGTATTTTGATAAGGATTGCATTGAGTCTGTAGACTGGTTTGCAGCTTGCAGTATGGTCATTTTAATGATGTTAATAGTTCTGATCCAAGAGCATGAGATGCTTTTCCATTTGTTGATGTCATCCACAATTTCTCTTATCAGTGTTTTGTAGTTGTCCTTGTAGAGATCTTTCCCCACCTTGATTAAATATATTCTTCCTAGGTATTTTGGGGGTTAGCTATTTTAAATGAGATTGCCTTCTTTATTTAATTCTCAGCTAGATCGTTATTGCTGTATAGACATGCTAGTGATTTTAGGGAGTTTTTGGAACATTGTGAATTTTTTTACTTCAGTAATTTTAGGAGTACAAATCATTTTTGGTTACATGGATGAATTGTGAAGTGGTGAAGTCTGTGCTTTTAGTGTGCTTGACACCCAAATAGTGAACATTGTACCCAATAAGTAGTTCTTTAACCCTTACTCCCCTCCCAATCTTTCCCCTTCTGAGTTTCCAATATCCATTATACTACTCTATATACACTTGCATACCCATAACTTAGCTCCCACTTAGAGAACATGCAGTATTTGGTTTTCCATTCCTGAGTTACTTCACTTAAGATAATGGCCTCCAATTCCATCCATGTTGCTATAAAATACATTATTTTGTTCCTTTTTATGGCTGAATAATATTCCATGGTGTGTGTGTGTGTGTGTATACATCACATTCTCTTTATCCACTCATCAATTGATGGGCATTTAGCTTGATTCCAGAACTTTGCAATTGTGAATTGTGCTGTGATAAACATAAAAATGCAGGTGTCTTTTTATATAATGATTTATTTTCCTTTGGGTAGATACCCAGTAGCGGGAGTGCTGGATTTAATAGTAGATCTACTTTTAGTTCTTTGAGAAATCTCCATACTGTTTTCCATAGAGGTTGCACTAATTTATGTTCCCACCAACAGTGTATAAGTGTTCTCTTTTCATCACATCTGCAGCAACATCTATTGTTTTTTGAATTTTTAAAGAATGGCCATTCTACTGAGGTAAGGTGGTATCTCACTGTGGTTCAAATTTGCATAAAATGCTACTAATTTTTGTACATTTATGTTGTATCCTAAAACTTTACTGAATGCATTTATCAAATCTAAGAGTTTTTTGGTGGCATCTTTAGAGTTTTCTAGATATAAGGTCATTTAATCAGTAAACAGGGATAATTTGACTTTATCTTTTCCAGTTTGGATGCCTTTTCTTTCTTTCTCTTGCCTGATTGCTCTGGCTAGGATTTCCAGTGCTATGCTGAATAAGAGTGGTGAAAGTGGGCATATTGTCTTTTTCCAGTTCTTAGAGGGAATGCTTTCAACTGTTCCCCATTCAGTATGAAGTTGGCTGTGAGTTTCTTATATAAGGCCTTTATTATGTTGAGTTACGTTCCTTCTAGGAGGGTCTTTATCATGAAGGGTTGCTGAATTTTATTAAATGCTTTTTATGCATGTATTGACATTACCATATGGTATTTGTTTTTAATTCTGTTTATATCATGTATCACATTTATTGATTTGCATATGTTGAACTATCCTTGCATTCCTGGTATAATACCCACTTCATCTTGATGTATTACCTTTTTGATGTGCTGTTGGATTTGGTTTGCTGGTATTTTGTTGAGGATTCTTTTCAATGTATAATTATTTGTGTCTATTTGATTAAAATATATAAATGTTTCCTGTGTAAAATACTGATGGACATATTAAATAAGTCCTGTTTAAGACAAGAGTGAAATACAAGGGCTGTTTTTTTACCTACACATGGCAGTAGATGTGCCACACTTTGAGTCACAGCCCAAATAGCTGATTCATCACTCTAATTCATGTACTCATCCCACTTTCTGCTGCCTCAATCAACCACATATTCACAACATCTAACCATCCTTCCAAAACTTATTTTTAGGTAAAATCTAATTGTAAGCTTTAGTATATTGATAAAGCCTAAAATGTTGCTTCCATCGCCTCCATTCTTATATTTGATCCATTTTTCTATTCATATTGGCATGTGATATTGCTGCTTTCACCAAGTGAGTCATATGAAATGGGAATATGAATTTAACAGTTTAAGACTTCTCAAAAAGAACTGCAGTCTGCTCTTTTACATTTACAAATATATAGCAATTGCAGAATGAAGTTTACATTTACAACTTAGTGGTTTGGAATGGTAATACATTTCTACTATTATGCTTTAGCAAGTAGATATTTGTGTAGGATCTGAAAGTATAAAAACAATCACTTGGGAGTAGAAGTGAAGATTTTTGAGTCGTATATTCTTTTAGGTTTCCAAAGGCCCCTAAATAAATTGAAGAGATTCTACGTATATTCTCCAAAAGTCCCATAACTTTTGGAATATCAATGAAGCTTTAAATAGCATCATGTAATATGATTCTTGCTGCTTGCCCTGTAGGGCAAAATATAAAATTTCCTCCTCTCCCCAGCACTAATGAATATTAACCTAAGAAAAGCAGCATGTCAGAACTCATAATTAGACTAGTTCATTGGAAATTATTACACAATATTGCTGAAATAGCGGAGTGGAACAAGCCAGACTTGAGTTTGAAACTTGTCTCTGATTCTGACTAACTAGACATGACTTGTAAGTTGTAAAATGAGCAATGACCATTGGATCTAGCAGAGGAGATGGATTCACTAGAGGGGATGGATCCAATCTCAACCTAATCTTCATTTCTCCTGGGGTAAATAAGGACTTGATCACAGCCCTGCCTTACACAGTGAACTCTATATAGCAATACCTTAGTGTATAATCAAGCAAGTATTTCTGAGTCCTACCACATATCTGACAATTGTTAGAATCCAACAAGGCAATTAGAATATGCTGCCAATGATATTTCTGATTAACTGGAAAACTCTATGAACTCAAAAGTGTGTGAGCATCATTATATCTCAATGATGTCCATCCAGGTGGTATAATCATGTCAATTGAAATTTATCCCTAATAAGGTGTGAAATGGATGATCTGATCTTTTGTTCTTAAGGATTGGTTAACCAGTTGGATGTACATCAAGTATAATGACAATTAGGAAAATTAAGAATGTATAAAAGCCTCATCATGGGTACTGTATACAGCTGAGAGTTTCTCCTATAATTTTCTTCTGAACTTGGCTTTAAAATGTATAAACTTTTATTTTTGAGTTAAAACTCTAACGTACATTCACAATGGAAAATGTGGAAAATACAGGCTAGCATAAAAAAGCAAATGAAATTACCTATAACCTTCCTTTCCTCTTGCCATTTTTCTATACATGTATGTAAATGAAATAACAGGCATTACATTATATTAATGTATACATACAGATTGGTACAATATTTTCTTTAATTAATATATTAGGTGCCTTTTCTAATACCTATTCCTAGATACCATTTTAATGTCCTTGTAATTTGTCATTACATTGATTTGCCATATTCTATTTTCTCAGGCTCTACTGTACAAATGCATGTTTTAAAAGACAACACAGAGTTGTTATTTAATTGTTCTATTTGGCATTGCAAATGATTGACAGCATTGCAGAGGATCAAATAGGGGTAATACATGTGGAACACTTTGAAAAGGCATAAAAGAAACTCTGAAAATGTTCTTATAAGTGAATCAGGAAAGTAAATACATCAAAGGTAAGAAAGGCAAAGTAGAATAAAGCTCTGAATTAAGCAAAGTTTCAGAAAGGAATAGTCCTCTACAGCATTCTGGAAGTAGGATAAGAACAAAGTGAATTTTTGGAGACAGTTCTGGCTTTATATATTTTGTCTTGTTGACCTTCTATTAACTATCAAAATGTCCAAATTTCTTAATATGTGAAACTATTTCTCAAGTTATGTTTTTGTGTCTGGAAGCACACAAACACCAATGAATCTTAACACCAGGATTAGAAAATATGGTTTCCATATAGGTATGAAGCAGCTGAAAGCTAATTGTGTTTCTGCCTTTCTTGGCAGGTTAAAATCTCTGTTTAAAGTTAAAAAGTAACTATTACCTGTATGTATTTTTAAATTTTCTACAAAGAAAATATATTATTTGTGTAATTTTTAAAAGTTGTATATTTTGGCAAACTGCATTTTCCAATAATGGCCATTACAATATTTCCGATTTGTACATTCTCTTCTTACAATGCACCTTGACACACCCTTATCAAGAAATGGAGTCTGTGTTTCCTTCCCTTGAAGCTGGGTGGACCTCTATGACTGTACAGATCAACAGAATACAGCAGAAGTGATGTCATGTTACTTCTAAGGCTAGGTCATAAAAGGTGATAGAGTTTTAATCTAGTTCTCTCTCTCTCTCTGGAATGCTTGCTTTTGGAGCCTAACTGCCATGCAATGAAGGATCCTAGGTTACATGGAGAGGCCACATGTACGAGTTACAGTTAACCACAGTTCCAGCTGGGGTTCCAGGCAACTATGTCAATCAACAGACACATGAGTGAGGGAGCCTTTGAGATGAATCCAGCCCCCAGAAACTACCTGCATGCAGGTGAATGAGAAACTCTGAGCAAGAACTGCCCATCTGAGCCCAGCCAATCCCAGAAATGTGAGGGAGAGCAATAAGCAATAATAATACTAATAATATTACATGATTGTTGCTGATTTACACCACTAAGTGTGGGGTGGTTTGTTATGCAGCAGTAGACAACCTGAACTTACATAAGTAAATTAAAGTGAAGGCCTTGAAATACAGTCAATCTGCCTGCATTGGTGAAATGCTCATGTTAACCCAGTCCTACTTAATAGACGTGGGCAACAGACACTCAAAACCCTACTTAATGGAGAACTAAAGTAACCATAAACTGAGAAGGCAAAGGGAGCTTTTAAAAAAACACCCTTTTTCACAGTTGCAAGAGAGGCCTATATTGCTAGGCATGGCTGTAAAATACTAGCAGCTGTTGGACAGGGCTGGCGAAATTTTAAGGGTGTAAAAGAGCCCAGTTTGAACAATGGCTTGAAGACAACAGTGTCTCTGGGAGGAAGTGTAGAGAACCAAGTGTCTCTGCAAACAGGGGTCACAGCTGCAAATTAAAGAGACATTTTCACATTTGGATTTTTTCATGTTGGTCATTTTTTTCAATACACATGCAAATGAGTCTGAGGAGAGATAGTTGTCACTGCTTAAATCGATACTTTGAATGTTAATGTTCATCACACATATTTTATTAGTAAAGTGGGGCTCTATGTAACCTTAGCCACATTTTTTGTTTCCCCTTTTTAACTGAATAAACAACAGCAAAGCCTAAAACAAGTCAGAACTGTTCTTGAGGGATCATACAAATATAAGAAAGATTCTGGGACCTGGGTAAAAAAGCTTCTGTTACAGCAATACCAGCCTTCATTGACGTTAGGTTATAAGAAGGAACCTCATGGTCTGAGAAATCAAGTGTAGCAATTGAGAGCTAGGAAAGTAGATCTCTCTATAGAGTGAATAAGACTGAGTCACATACTGTGCAAAGAGAAAACAAACAAGGGCTATTTGGAAGCTACTTGAACATTTGTCTATCTCTTCATCCTTCTTTAATTTTGGCACTGAGTCTTTTGTAAACCTAAGGATTAATTCTTAAAGGGCAAGCCTTGGTCCCCTGGCTGTTAGAGCCAGGCTAGGATTTTCTTTGAGTTCATCTAGTGGTAGGTTTCACACATTTTAAAGTGTTTGAAGAAGAATGAGGAATCAGGTCGATTCCTCTGTCCACACTTTTGTATCTCATGCATTGTCAGTATGAGGAACTCTCTCAGGAAATTCACTATGTGCTTATCCTACTTATAGAACATTGCAGAAGACTATTACTTTCTAAAACTTCACTTAATTCAGAGCTTTATGCTACTTTGTTTTTCTTCTATTCATAAAGTTGCTGTTTTTAAAAAATTATTATGGATACATAATGGTTGTACATATTTATGGGGTACATGTGATATAATTGGGGTATCCATCACCTCAAGCATTTATCATTTCTTTGTTTTAGAAACATTCCAATTTCACTCTTTTATTTATTTTGAAATATAAAATAAATTATTGTTAACTATAGTCACCCTATTGTGCTACTGAACACTAGATCTTGTTCTTTCTATCTAACTGTACTTTTGCACCCATTAACCATATTCTCTTTGTTTCCCACTCCCCACTACCTTCTCAGCCTCTGGTAACCATCATTCTACTCCTTATCTCCATGAGTTTATTTTTTTTTTAGCTCTTGCATATTAGTGAAAACACGTGATATTTGTCTTTCTATGCCTGGCTTATTTCATTTAACGTAATGTCCTCCAGTTCCATCCATGTTGTTACAAGTGACAGGGTTTAATTATTTTTCATGGCTGAATAATAGACACCAAAGGAAAAATGGACAAACTGGATTACATCAAGCTAAAAAGCTTCTGCACAGAAAAGGAAACAATCAACAAAGTGAAGAGACAACCCACAAAATGGGAGAAAATATTTGAGAACTAGCTATCTGACAAGGGATTGATAACCAGAATATATAAAGAGCACACACAATAGGAAAAAATTAAATGAGCTGATTTTAAAATGGGCAAAAGATCTGAGTGGACATTTCTTAAAAGAAGACACACAATGGCCAACGGGTATATGAAAAAATATTTGACATCATTAATCATCAGAGAAATGCCAATAATAACTACAATGATATATCATTTCATTCCAGTTAAAATGGCTTCAATTCAAAAGACAGGCAATATTGAATGCTGGCAAGGATGTGGGGAAAGGGGAACCCTGGTATGCTGTTGGTGGAAATGTAAATTAGTACAGCCGCTATGGAGAACAGTAAGAAGGTCCCTCAAAAAGCTAAAAATAGAACTACCAAACAATCCAGCCATCTCACTGCTGGGTATATATCCCAAAAAATGGAAATAAGTATATGAAAGAGATAAACGCACTCCCACGTTTATTGCAGCACTAGTCACAGTAGCCAAGATATAAAATCAAGGTATGGAATCTTATCTTTGGTATTTGATTTACCGAATCACTTATGAGAGCATTTTCAAGTTGCTTTTAGGTCTTTTCAAAGTGTTCCACGTATATTACCTCCTGCAATGAATATTATGAGCCATCTTTTTAATTGTTGGGAAGCAGATGAGAGCTGGGCTTTTACCAGGCCTGGCAACACAGCAGATGATGAAATACGAAGTGTATGTGTACACATGGTGGTGATAAGCTGAACATAGTGAACAGTCAGGTTGACTGCCTAGGTAACTCAAAGGTGCAGGTTGGGATCCCCAGGAAACAGACTCTGAGAGACAGATTCACATGTAGGAGGTTTACTGGGGAGTGCTCTACAGATCAATACCTGGAGAGTAAGGGAAGGAAATAAGACTAGGCAGAGGGAAAAGTTGAGTGTTAACATAGTTCCCAGAGAAGCCTCAACCAACCCCACAGGGAGTCCTGAAACAGGGAAAACTCTTGAAGTTTGCTCTACTTTATAGCAAAGGGGCTATGTCTTCATATTTCTCCATTATGCTCACTGGATGCAGGTTGACTCTGGGAAAGAGACATAATCTTAAAGCAGCTCTTTCCACCTAAGAGCAATTTTGGGGAAGGGTTTACAACTGAGGGCTGTCTGTTAGTTGCATTCTCAGCAGCTGAGGGAATGAGTCCTTTGGTCCTGAAGAGGGATCTGGTTGACACAGCATAGTATTTACCACACTCAGAATGGATGCAAGGACCCATCTTCAAGCTTGTGTCGGATCTGGTTGAGGGATTTAACCTGAGGAGAACAGTGCTTGGAAGGAAGGGAAAAAAATAAGGGAAGCAGTTGCTGCCCCTGACCAGTTCTCTCAAAGAAGAAATTTAAATGCTTGTCAGGATATAGATAAAAGTTAAAGAAAATGTTAAGAGAAACAGTTTGAAGTATCTGATCAGTGTTCAGACCATAAGATAAGCAGATATTCAAAGGGTGGTGCCTTATATATGAATGGTCTGTAAAGGTGATCCATAGGAATAGAGATGTAAGCAGAGACTAAAGAATAACATCATGGAAGCCAAAGTAAGAGATAGTTTTAAGAAGGAAAAAGTGATAAGCAGTGTCAAATTTCAAGTAAGAACGGATCAAAAAATAATCAAATGGTTCAGAAAGTGGGCAGGCAGTGGTCACTTTGGACAGAATCATTTAAGATAAATGGTTGGGGCAGAAGTCAGATTGCAAAAAAGAGTGAATGTAAAATTGAGAAGGGGTACCATGAGAGCAAACCACTTTTTTTTCACAACTCTTGTAGGAAGAAAATATGACCTCATCAATATATTGAGATTTTGGACTGAGGAAAATTTTCTTTTGAAAATGGGAATAAATTTTTGAGCATGGGTATAGGCAGAGAGAAAGGAGCTAGTGTAAAAGGAAAAGTTGAAGGTAAAGGCAGTTAAGGATAATTTATGAGTTCAGATCCTGAAGCTGATGAGAGGAAATGGAGTCCATGGCATATGTGTAGGAGTTAGGTCTGGATGGTGAAAAAAGTCCCCTACTTCAGAGGCAAAAAGAAAAAGAAGTAAATGCCATGATTTTAATGTCTTCTGAATGATACCACAATAACTTCTTATTTATTAAGGTCTCTACCTGGGAATAGGATTAAAGTTAGACTGACACACAGCAAGGATGGCCTCTAGCTAATGAGAAACCAACATGACTACGTCTTGGTTCCTTTAGCTCATTTAAGAAGTAGATGATGTATTTAAGATTCTAACAGTGAATTAAGATGTGTCTACTTGTCATCATTCATGTGCTTGAGTGGGATATTATTTATTAATGAAATTATACAATTTTAAAGAAAGAAGAGACCATTTTAGACAATGGCTCGAATTGGCTACTATGACCATAAATGTAAGGTTTACTGAAGAAAATGGCTATAGGTGTTTCCAGATACAGAAATGACCTTGTTCTGTACCATGTAATCCTATACCCCTGGCATCAGCTGACTGGACTAAGGGGAACATTAACTCTAAGGCAGCCAAGCGACAGGATGCCTAGTGGTCTAGGAGGTGGCCTGTGAGAACACTGTCTATCAGGAACCATACTGATGGATTGAAGCAATTTCCTTCAAGTATGTAAAAAACAAAAGGAAGGAGCAAGAAAACTCTTAGTAGGGGCAGAAGCTGAAAGATACACAAAAAGAAGATTGATAATGGAGATCCTTAGGCAACTTGCACTATGAGGAGTTCATGGATGACCAGAATCTAGAAATAAGGAGGCATTGGTAAACATACATAGAAGACGGTGAGGCCAATGGAATCTCAAGTGCTTGGCCCAAGGTCACACACTTAGTGACTAGCAATATCTGAACTAGAGTACCATTCAGACTTTTTATTTGTTTCTGCAACAAACAAGTACCTTCAACTATCCCACAGTTCCTTCCAAACCTGGCTGTAGATCAGAATCAACTAAAAAGCTTTTGAAAAAATATACTGCTAATCCCTAGGTTCACTTCTGGAAATTCTTGTCCAGTAAGTTTGGCTGGAGAGTTTGGGTCTGTACTTTTAACAAGCTACCCAGGTGATTCTGATGTGGGAGGTCAACTGACCTGGGTTTGGAAAGCACTTTCCCAGGACATAGCTCTGTGTGCCCAAGTGCTGTTAGCTACTAATTTTAAATTCAGGTTCAGGAAGAATTCATTGTTACTACGGTGACAGAACAAGCATTAATAGGAATATTTATATTACTAAGACTGGAAATGAAGGGAATCACATTACCAGTGCAACAATTACTCTTTCCTGGGTTGGCATTAAACCTAGAAGTTCTTGTTTAGAAAGCAGATCATGCATTCCTTCCCCTGACTCTTTAGTAAAATGACTAAGCTTAAGTTTCCATTGCAGTTTTGTGATTTTTAACATCTTTGTAAACATATCTGTACATAGAAAAGTATTTTTCAGAAGTGCCTTCAGGAGAATAAAGTTAACGTAAGTGTGTCTGAAACTCGTGGCAAATATATGGGGAAAATCAGAAGATGGCCTGTGTATATAGAATGGATATTTGAGGAATGGACCCTTTTTAATTTTACATGCTGTACCCTGTATATTTCATATGTGCACACCTACACAGGATGGTCAGAACTCAATACATTTCTTATTGATTGATTGACTAGGACCTCAGGTCAGTCATAGTAGTCTTTCATCTTCATCTCCTTTCCATTATCCTTCACTCTTCTTTCTTCACCTGCAGATAGAGTAGAAATCCATTAGACCATATCTTACAGTTTTGAAGCCTCCAACTAGTCTTATGTTTTAAGGCATACCTTCTCAAGGAGGTGATATCCACTCCAAAGGGGCAAAAATCAGTTCTTGGAAGAGGCAAAAAATTTAGATATTTCAATGATTTGTGTAGCCCTCCAAAGGGCCACACAGTACATTAACAGATATACAGTTAATATGTGCTATTAAAATTTCATGTAGTGGGGCAGTTATTTAGAAAAATATGTCAAAAATCCTTAGGGGGCAAGTGAAAATCAAAAGAAAGGCTGAGAAACACTTTTAAGGGCTACAAAAAAATCTCGGCTGCCTAGCATCTAGGCTTTGCCTCAGTGCACAGAAAGATTGCTGTGAGGAGTTTCAGTGGTGGATTGGCAGTTAGTCAGTCAGGAGACCTGGCTTCCTGGCTGGCCATTAAAGACTTCCTGGGTAGCACCCTATTAGCAGACAAGTATTCTGTTTGAGGAATACTTGAAGAGTTAACACTCTTCAGAAAAGCCTGAAAGATGTAGTAACAATGAACAGGATTTCAAGGGATGGCTGGGCTTTTTGTAGATGGAAGCCCTTTATTCAGTCTTTCAAGAGGAAATTGGAATCAACTGATACTAATGGAGGCATTACAGTAGTAGAAGAGCTAACTGGTGAATGAGTTATTTAAAATGTTATTCAACCAGAGATGCCTCAAGAAATGATGCCTCAAGAGAGAGAACAGAGGCCTAGAAGACAATGAACCCAAACATTATGACTTAGTTGAATATGTTGGGTCCAAAAGTCATTAGTGCAGCAGAAGTAATGAATCCAGATAGTGTTTGTAATCACTTCTATTGGAAAAAGATTCCAATGAAAACTTTATTTGATTATTCAGGTAACTACATAATCTAGAGTTGTTTAAGTGAATATTTTTTAAGATTATTGGCTTTTCTTCATATTCAGGACTAAACCAGTTTTGTAGATATGAACAATGCATTAAGTAAAGTTATAATTACTATGTATACAGTGACATTTTGAGAAAAATAAAAAAACAAAGATTGCATTACAAATATAGTACTTATGTTTATGTTTCTCAAAGGGTTAATGTCATCTCAGAACTGCACATTAGTTTCCTATAGCAGATTATTTTACTTCATGCATCTCCTGTACGTTATTAGGAAATACCTATGACCTACTAAAGCAGTATAACTCTGGAATGCTAAATTTGCAGTTCACAATTTATCAGTGCATCATAATATGGACTACTGAATTTATAACACAGTATACTGTTTATTATATAATTTACTCAAATTATTATATCCATGGTACAGTACATGCTGTATTAATCTTGTCCTCCGCATTGAGACATGAAGTGGTCTTGGCATTATCATTAGAGCAATGTCCAAAAACATCAAACAATGAGGCAGGGCTTCTAGGCTGAATGTCTTACACATGACCCTTTTATACCATATCCTTATATCATTCGGCCTGCTGCTCTGTGCTGGGGAAAGCTGACCCCTGCAGACTGCCTCAGCAGGCTTCCTTGCCATCTGGCTTCCAGTTTATCCAATGGAAGGCATGCAGAAATAGGAAGGTGGGAAGCATAAGAAGAAATAGGAAGGTGAGAATAATAAAAAGTTTATCCCTTTCTGCATCACAAACCATTAACAGAAAAAAAAGTTTATCCCCTAGCTCTTTCTCTGCCTTTTTAGCAGGGCTTCACTACTTCCCCTTAGCCGAAGGCCATAGTTCCTATCAGGTGTCTCCATATAGATATTCTCCTAGGTTCTGGTAATGGCTCCCTCCCCTTTTTTCTTCAGACCTCAGACTTTCTGATGTTGCTAGACCTGTGGAGCGGCAATATCCCTTGCTATTTTTCCTACACTTGGCCCACACCTTTGTAAATGGTCCAATTCTCAAATTCTTCTCAATTACTCAGTGTGAGTATGCTGTATTTTTATGAAGGAACCTATAATGACACCACACTGTAGTGGACTATAAGATTATTCACAGATTATTGACCTTTTACTGTATTATGCTATGTACAAGCTAAATTCTCAGAAAGGGACATTTGACTTTTTAAGCACCAGATATCAGTTAATGAATTAATTATAGCTCAACTATGAAAGCTGAAATATTATGCAAAGGTGGGCACTACTCCAGTGTGGAATACAATTGCATGCCATATAAGACTAATTGAGATGCCCATTAACAGTGAAGAAGGGCCGCTGGTAATGCAAACATTTTACCTTCAATTTGAGGCAAGCATAATAAACAATGGACATTGTAGAAAGTACTAGCAAAACACTGTACCCCAGAGAGCTTTGCTTTTATTAATGAGAAAGGTAACAAATTAATTTCCTGTGGAAATTGAATAATTTTTGTTACTTCCCTTAAGCCAGAATAAATAATTTAGAAATGGTTCAGAAGAGCCTTAACAATGCCTCAGACTTGGTGTGGACTTATATAGCAATATGCATGTCTATCTATAAATGTGCACATTTTTAAATATAGAAAATAAAGGTAAGAATTTGTTTATTTGCATATATCAGTAGCTAACAGACTAGTGCCAATTCAGGTTTGCTGTTTTATCCTGAAAAGTGTACATGGAACCGTCCCTGCCACTGAAATACAATAGACAATAAATTTCAGAGCAAAAAAACCTTAGAAAATTGTCGTCATTTCACATTTGGAAATCCTTTAACTCAGCTTTGTTCCTTGGAGAACTGAGAGGACACTGGGTTATCTTGTTATGACTTCCTTTCTGAGGGTGACCAGATTAATCTGAAACTAGGTGCTTAATACTTTCTAAGTGTCAACATTATTACTTTTCTTTATTTTTTTTTGCAAAGGAAAATTAAATATGCATTTCTTTTCCTATAGTTTGGATTGTGATTTGTTGATATCCTCTAAGTATCTTATTACAGAGAGCTCTATAAAAAGGTCCTTGGCACAGAGAAAGGCAGATCTATCAGACAGATGTACCTCTTACTTGCACTGGAATTCCTCTAGGGTCATATATGTCTACATCAGGCAGATGACTTAATAATTATTTCTGAAGAGTTCATGAAGACCAGCTATTCAAGGTCTTTTGTGGGGGGACGGGGGGGTGCTGAAAATTTCAATATTGATTGAAACATTCCACATTAGCAATATGGGTAGAAGGAGTGGTTGTCCTTACCTGTCCCTCTTCACCCCAGCTGGGTCTGGCTCACTATGGACACTTGATGAATATTAATTGAGGTGGAAATTAATTGGAGCAATGAGCTCCCATTGAGGGAGAGGAACAAGGACTGTGGGCATGTTAACAATTGACATGTGATGGGTTTTCCTTTTTCCCTTGAAACCTAGAAGAAATACATATTCAAGACCTAGTCATTTTCCCCTACTGGCAGCTCCATCTGGCAGTCATGCAAAGAGGTATGTAATCCAACCTGTGTTTTGTAGTGATACAGAATCTGGCACTGGGTTTCCATGGGGGTCAGTCAGTTGAGAAGCCCTCCAAGTGGACTCCCACAGCTAGAGTGGCAAAGAGCCCTTGCTAATCTTTTTTTTTTTTTTGTCTCTACGGGTTTAGCCTTTAGAATTATGGGACCAAGCCACAGCTCGGCATGCAAAAGCCATAATAATGATGATTTCATCTTAGGCTGTTTGTAGAACTCTGACTCTCCCGTGGAGTATGAGAGTTAGGGGAAAGGCAGGTTACATAACAAGAAGTAAACACAGACGGGCTGGCTGTGCAGTGTCTGGGGTTTCCATTGGTACGGCAGAAAAATATTTGCTCTGTGAAGAAAAGCAAGAGAGCATTTCCATTTACATCATTTTGGCAGTTTGTGCTGAGGTCTTTGCTGACACTCAAACTGTTATATTGCCAGAGTTTTTTGTTCATCTAAGAGCAAAAAGCATTGTATACCCATTCGCATACTCTGTCTGTCTATCTTCCTATCTCCATCCAAAACTACTTCAGTCTATTTTGTGATATGCAGGTTTCCAAAGTGTTTTTACTTAATATTTAAGCTTTTTTGTCCTATTGTCCTATACTTCACATGAAAAGATTATGGACAACACCTAAGCATGTTTATAGCCATTTGTCCATTAACTTTATTATCCCAGATGACCCTGACTGAATGTGTTGAAACGGGTAGATTCATCTAATTCCTGTTTCCTGACAATTCCAGTGAGATATTTAATTTCCCCACTCCATCACCAACCTTGTGTTCCTATCACACACAGTAATGAAACAAAGTTTGACACACAAAAGACACAGAAAATTAAATTATTATTATCTAGGTTTGTGAATAATAAACATATACACTTTATTATTTTCTTAAAAGTAAAGAAAGATTATGGAAATATTTTAATTCATCTGGTCACTTATTCATTACATTGTTCAAGTGAAAAACCTCTGTCTTAGAAGTGACAAGCCACTTTAAGACCACAGGGTAATCATCAAGAACACTAAAATCTTAGTAATTTACCAAAGCATCCTAAGAACACTTTGATTTGTCATAATAGCTAACCACACAGGGAGAATATGGCTACTTGAGAGACTGAAGGTTGATTTCATGTTGAAGCAATTTGCTTTGAGGGAATCAGAACTTAAGTGAGCCTACTCTCAAACCTCAGATACTCCAATCAGTCCTTTTCACCTCCCTCAGGTGCAGAGGGACATGCTTAAAGGAGATCTATGAAAAATAAACAAGCAAAGAACCCCACTTCTGCTAGTCCCCCATAATTTGAAATCAAGCATAGCTACACCTGGATAATGCTCCCAGTCTGTTTTCTTTTCACTGTGGATGGCTGTGCACTGTGTAATAATTCAGATCTCCATGGAACATGCCATTTTGCTTTCATGGGAAATTAATTTGCTTTCTACTTTGGAATAATATTTAGTTGTGTTTTCCCATCTGTGCCTTGCCTGTAAGTAAAGACCTATGAAGGATTCAATGGAAAAGTTTTCAAAGATTTAATTCAAGTAAATCCTCTACATATTTGGCACACATCAAAAGCTTATATAAGACCTGCTAGTAAATTAGCATAATGACCAATGTTATATATCTCGAATCCTTAAGGATATGCATAGGACAGATATAGTGGATACCTCCGTAGGTATTTGCTAGGCATCTCTAACTCTACATATCTCAAACTAAACTCCTTACCCCATCTCTCTTCGCCCAAACCTATACTCGCTAATCTACCACCATTCATCCAGTTAACAAATATGAATATTGGGAATTATTATATGATCCTTTCTTTCCCTTGTGCCAAGGGATATTGTGTCAAGATTTGTAGCTGTTTACCAAGTCCATTTCTCTTTCTTTCTGGACCTACAGCTATACTACATTTTCCAGCCCCTTGCAGTAAGATGTGGCCATGGTAGTAAGTACTGGTGAATGAAATATGTGTGGAAGTGTTATGAGCCATTTCCTGGCCAAGGGTTGTAAAATGATGATATGCCCCCTCCATACTCTTTCTCCCTCTGGGGACTATCAAGAAGTTCTAATGGATAGTGGAACCAGAAGATGGAAGGAGCCCAGATTCCTGAATCATCAAACAGAGGAGAGCATCCAGCTGACAAAGAACATCTTCCTTGAGCAACTATGTATACAAGAAATAGACTTTTATATTGTTTGAACCATGATATATATTTGGGTCTATTTTCACTGCAGCTTAGCTTACCTAACTGACATTCCCAAGTTAGTCAATTCTGTCTTATAGATAGCTCACAGATTTTTCCCACCACCTTCAGTCCAGCTGCTCCTTCCTTTGTCTAGGTTCTCACTCTCCTTAGACTGAAGCCCTACAATAGCTCCTGAATTAGTTTCCTGTTCTGCCTTTGACCTTGCTTTCCTTCAAAGCATTATCTCAAACTGTGTCAATAATTACCTTTCCACAATATTAAATGACAATACATTCCAGGCTTGAAAACCATTCAGTGATCTGCATCTTCTACATTAAAAATTCTATGTCCTTGGCCTAGCAGTAAATATTCTTTATGATCTGTTTTCTGCCTTCTCTTTCGGTCCCACCTTTTGGCTCACTGCTGCCCTGTAGCCTGTGATCCACTGTCACTGATCTGCTTCCAGTTCCAGGAAGATGTTCATGCTGCTGCTTCTCCCCAGAATGTCTTTCTTTCCTCAGCTTGATTCCTCAGTTTGGAGGGGCAGCTCATGGAATCTCTCACTGCTTCCACCTCCAAGGAGGAGCATTGCTATTGTTATGCAGGTATCCAGCTGTCCCTTAGCAGGTATTTTTGATCTCCTCCAAACTGAAACTCAATTCACATAAAATGATAAATGAGTAATGAAAGTTGTATCAAGGATTACAAAGGGGATTTATAGGAGAGGGGTTTTAATCCACAACACACTGCAGACACTTAAGTAAGTCTTCATTCAATGGCTTTGATTCTTCCCAAAATCTTTCTTCAGGTATTCCAATAATTAGAGGCCTCATCTCCTTGATCATCCCCAATCAGGCAACTCAAAAACTGGTTTTAATTTAATATATGCTGACCCTTTCTCATTTCTGATGAAACTTAAACAATCTGAGAATTATTCCTACCCCACAGTGAGCTTTAAAGATGTAAACTGAGACATGTTGTGCAGAGAATGGAACTTTGGTAGAAGCAATAAAAGCAGAAGATTACTGGGACAAACACTCTTATTTTACTTCCTCAGAAGCATTAAGGGCAGCCCCATCAATCTTTCTTTCTCTCTTTTCTTCCAATGATACTTCTACCTATACTTCTACTTCTGTGTCTACAGCTTCTATTACTAGGATCTTGGTACTAGCAATAGCTAACATTTAACAAGCTCTTAAAGTGTGCCAGGTATTTTTCTAAGACATTCATGTCTTATAATATGTATTTGTTGAGTTTTGTCTTCCTTTAATCCTAATGTTTATATTTTTGGGAAAATAGCCTATATGGTACAGTAAATAATCTGAAAACTCTTCTACAACAATACAGTTAGAAATTCTGTATAAACTATGACAGATATTCTTTTAGAGTCATCGCTGAGTTTGTAGGAAAGTGAAGGAACACTTCAGCATCAAAAAATGGAGGAGAAATGACAACCAGGGTAGAGTAGTCCCTGCTTATCCACAGGGATACATTTCAAGACCTCCCAGTGGTGCCTGAAACGCAGATGGTAACAAACCCTATAAATACTATGTTTTTCTATACATACCTACAATAAAGTTTAACTTAAAAATTAGGCACAGTAAGAGATTAACAATAACTAATAATTAGGTAATTATCAGTAAAGTATTATTAAGTAAAATAAGGGTTCTTGAACACAAGCACTGCGATACCGAAGCAGTTGATCTGATGAACGAGACAGCTACTAAGTGACTAATGGGCAGGTAGCACATACAGAGTGGATACACTGGACAAAGGGATACGCTGTCCCAGATGGGATGGAGTAGGATAGTATGAGATTTCATCACTCTACTCAGTATGGCACGCAATTTAAAACTTATGAATTGTTTATTTCTAGAATTTTCCATTGAATATTTTCAGACTGCAGTTGACTGTGGGTAACTAAAACTACAGAAAGTGAAACCACAGATAAGGAGGACTACTGTATTAGTGGGCAGGTACTATACTATATAGTACATAGTATATAATTTTAAAGGATAATCTACATGGTCTCCCAGAATTCCCCATCAGGATTATGTCCTAGTCACCCACACTTGTAAACTGCTCAATGATGTACCCTTTCTTGGCTTTCTTCCCTTTCCTGTTTTCCCTCTTCCCTATTGGAACATCCTGAGTTACTTCTCAATTAACTACTTGTACTCAAGTACTCAACTCAGAGTCTGAGGAAACCCAAGCTAAGACAGGCCTTTATTTGTCTATTCATTTTCAGAATATTAGGACACCTTGAACCTTAGATATGCTCTAATTATAATCTCCATTATACTACCTAATTATAATAAAGGTGGCCCTCACGAAATTGCCAAATATCATAAAGATATCTGTGAAGAAGTAACAACAACAACAGTAATAATAATTCAAGCACAAATGAATAACAAGAAAATGGAAATGCTGTTTAAGAATAAAATACAATGATGGTCTATATAGTTTTGGCTGGAAGTCAACTCCAAAGATTATCTGATAGATTTTGAAATATAGGTTTTGATCTACACACTCTGATGATGAAGTATGACAGGTATATTGCGATTATTTGAGAAAAGCCAACAGCACAAAAGTGAATAAACAAAACACATAAGTCTCCAGAGAAGTCAGATAATTTAGAGAAGAGAAATTTAAACAAATCTACTTAATATCTTCAGAGAGATTTGGGAAGAGGTTGTATCCACACGCACACAAAAAAATGCACCTGCTATGAAAAGAAGCAATCAGAGTACACATAAGAGCAGCCTACAAGTTTAAATATTATTGCCAAAAATATAGCATGCATAGCTCACGCCTGTAATCCCAGCACTTTGGGAGGCCGAGGCAGGTGGATTACCAGGTCAGGAGATCGAGACCATCCTGGCTAATATGGTGAAACCCCATCTCTACTAAAAATACAAAAAATTAGCCAGGTGTGGTGGCGGGCGCCTGTAGTCCCAGCTACTCGGGAGGCTGAGGCAGGAGAATGACGTGAACCTGGGAGGCGGAGGTTGCAGTGAGCTGAGATCGCGCCACTGCACTCCAGCCTGGGCAACAGAGCGAGACTCCATCTCAAAAAAAAAAAAAATTTATATATATATATATACACATATATAATGCATGAAAAGATTGGAATAAATAATCAAAGAAATCTTTTGTAACATAGAGGAGAAAGACAAAAACATAAAAATATGATAAAAAGGTAAGATTAAGAAGATTGATCCATGCTAAATTCCTAGAAGTAAGACAGCAGTAATGGAGGGGATAAAATTATGTTTAAAAAGAGTATTTCCCAGAGCTGATGAAAAACTGGAAAGTTCAAATTCAAAGGACTTCCCTCTAGTGTCTAGCAAGACAAATTAGACATATTCTTATGAAATTTCAGAATGCTGAAGTTAAATAAAATAATGTACATTATTTTAGTGAGGAAAAACCATGTCATCTACAAAAGAATCACAATAAAATTGTTTCAATACCACTAATCATTAGGGAAATGTAAATTAAAACCACAATGACATATCACGTCATATCTATCAGGATGTTTACTAACACAAAACAGAAAATAACAAGTGTTGGTGAGGATATAGAGAAATCAAAACCTATATATAGAGATATCACATTTTGTTTATTCATTCTTCCATCCAAGGACACCTGGATCGCTTCTACCTTTTGGCTACTGTGAACAATGCAGCTATGGATATGGGTGTACAAATATTTCTTTGAGACTCTGCTTTCAATTCTATTGAATATATATCCAGAAGTGAAACTACTGAATCATATGTTAGTTCTATTTTTAATTTTTGAGGAATTACTCTACCGTTTTGCATAACAACTAAATCAATTTACATTCCTACCAACAGTGTGCAAAGGTTTTGATTTCTCTATATCCTCATGGAGCAATGTGTTCGGTTATTTTTGTTGTTGTTGTATTGCTAGGAGTTCTTTATATATTCTAGATATTACCTCCATACCAGATATATGAGCTGCAAATATTTTCGCCCATTTTGTAGATTGTCTTTTCTACTTTGTTGATTGTATCATTTGAAGCATAGTTTTTAATTTTGATGTAGTCCTGGATAATTATTTTGAACCTAGAATTCTAAACTCAAAGTAATCATTTTTGAAGGCAAGAAAAGATAAGTTTAGATCTGCAAAGTTCAGATGATTTTTCATTATCCTGGAAATATTTAAGTTTATTGTCAAGTAACATGAAGTTGGGAAGAGGAAGTTTCAAAGATGCAGTGGAAAAACATAAGGTTATAACAAAAAGAAACCCCCTGGATACAGGGTACAGCAGACCCAGCAAGTAGTAGTATGCTTAAAAAGCTGTATGATCTTAGTTACATGGTGATGAAGGTATATATTTTTTAGTCTTAAGGAAAAAAAGGCTACGGGAAAAATTATGTACAAGAAAGTCATACCTCAAATATGAGCAAACTAAGGCATGACTTGGTTTTGTGCAATTGATGTAGTATAAGTAAAGAGAACCAATTCAATTTTGGCAATTGGAGCAGCAGCACAGGATTTTAGTGCCAAAGGTTTTGTGACATATATGTCAAAGTTTTTCTCTGTTGTACAGTTATGCTCCTTGAGTCACAGAGAAATAAGATTTACATTAATCATAACAGTATAGGTATGTTTCTTGGCCTTTGGTTGCCAGAATCATTTCCTAGTAAACTTAATTATAGTAACGGCATAGGTGACAAGAGGGCTGGGAAATGGAGGAAGGTGGTGGAGACAGGAGTAGTGGAAGCTAAATTTCTTATCCTGTATAGTGAAAAGTCAATATATAACATGTAAAGTAGCTGGATCAATAAGTAGAGACAAAGAGAGAGAGAGACTGAGAGTTATGAAATTATTTTCAATATACTCTGAGCCTAGAGGCTCAAACAGAATTTCGAACTGTTCCCATGAAGTCCAAAGGGTCCACACAAAAATACCTTTATTTCTGTGGCTTCTGCCCCTTTTCTTCTCGTCTAAGTCCCCTCAGTTTTTCCTACCTACCTACTTTTCACCATATTTTTGGTTCCTTTTCAGGAATAAATAACTTCAGATTCTTCCAGTCCTGTGTATCCCTGGAGAAGGGCTTTAACTTTTTTTCTTTAGAACAGAACATTTATAAGACAAACACAGTTTTCTTCTGCTTAATTTGACCTTATCTCATCTTCTAATTTCTGTGCATTACCTCCCTACAACCTCTTTACTCCATCTTACCAAAGTCTCTGTTCCATCCTGCACACAAAACAATAAGAAGCACCACATATTGAGTGTTGATGCTATGCCCAGTGCTCTTCCAAATGTTTTACAGACATTCTTGCCCTTAATCCTCACAGTAGCCTTATGAAGTAAAAGTGTTCATTTCATCTCAGAGTTGAGATAACTGGTTTAGCAAATGCTTCCAATTTTAAGGGTTATAGGTCTGGTGAGAGAATTTTAGAAAGTGTTTTGGATTCAGACAAACTTGAATTTAAATCCCAGCTTTGCTGCTTATTAACTTTGTGACCCTAAGCAACTTATAGGAGCTACCTGAGTTTCCAGTACTCCATGTGAAAAACGAGACAATACTTCTATATTTAACTTAAGCAACTTTTGTGAGGTAAAGTCATGTAAAACTCCTAGCATGATACTTGGCAAATGGCAGTTGCTGCTCTTGTTGGAATTATCATCATCATCATCATGATCACAGATATCATTGCTAATTCAGCAGCAACTTTGTTTTTTCCTTTTTAACAGCTTTCTTAAGATATCATTCACATACCATACAATTAACCATTCAGTGGTTTGGGGTATATTACATTATTAATAACTTTAAATTTTGGTAATATATACATATATAACATAAAATTTGATATTTAAACCATTTATATGTCCAATTCAGTTGTATTAATTATATATACAATGTTGTACAACCTTTACCACTATTTCCAAAACATTTTTATCACCTCAGATAAACTCTGTAACCATTACACAATAACTTCCCATTCCCTCCTTTCTCCAGCCCCTGTTAACCTTTAACCTACTTTCTGTCATAAATTTACATGTTCTAGGCACTTCATTCATACAATGGAATCATATTGTTTGTTTTCTTGTATCTGGCTTATTTCACTTAATATTTTCAAAGTACAAAAATACAGTTAGATAAGAGGAATAAGGTCTTGTGCATACTAGAACAATGGGGTGACTATAGTTAACAATAATGTATTATATATTTCAAAATAATGAAAAGACTGGAACTGGAATGTTCCTAACACAAAGAAATGATAAATGCTGGAAGTGATGAATACCCCAATTGTCCTGATGTGCTCATTACGCATTATATGCTTGTATCAAAAATCACATGTGCCCCATAATTATGTACAACTATTATGTATCCATAATAACTTAAATAACTAAATAAATAAATTTAAAGTTTCCATAGGTTAAAAAAAATGTTTTCAAGGTTCATCCATGTTGTAGTATGAATCAGAACTTCATTCACTTTTATGGTTGAATAATATTTCATTGTGTGAATATACCACATCTTGTTTATTCATTTATCTGTTAACAGACACTTGGGTTGTTCCTGCCTTTTGGCTATTATAAATAGTGCTGCTATGAACGTGGGTGCACAGATATCTCTTTGAGACCCTGCTTTCAATTCCTTTGGTATATACCTAGGAGTGGAATTGCTAGGTCATATGGTAATTCTATGATTAGCTTTTTGAGGAACTGCCAAACTGCTTTGCATAGTAGATGCACCATTTTACATCTCCATCAGCAATGGGTGAGGGTTTCAAATTTTTCACAACCTCTCCAACACTTGTTATTTTCCATTTTTTAAATTACAGCCATTCTCATGAGTGTGAAATTCTTTAGCAGTAACTTCCGAATCCAGGATTTCTCATAAATGTGAGGTATGACTAAAATAGCAGACAATAAAGATAGAATCATACTTTTGGATACTGTATTCCATCCTTAGTTTTAAAGAGACAATCAGTAGGATTTTCCTGTAATCTCTATACAAATAGATAATGTTCTTGTGTCTACAAGATTCTTGGGGAGAAATTTCATTGCCAAGAAATTGCCTTAATTTGTAAGGTTTTCTGTAGGCTACATGTATTTGCAAACAAACAATCACAGCAGACAATCAAACAAGCTTTATAGATAAGGTCCAGCATAGTAGCACAATAAGCAATTACATTTTTAAAAATTGACTAAAGACACTGAGTATAGATTTGTGAAATTGGCATAAAAATACATGATTCTTGTAGAGACAAGCTTATGATAATAGAGGCTAGAAGAATACCTGAAGCAATATCAAAATGATCCACTACATATTTAACGGGGTTTCAAAATCTAGCACAAAAATTCTAAGTATGTTTATATGATATCAGATGGAACATGAGCTTTTTCTTTTTTTATCTTTAGCTACTATTCTCTGTAACACAGAGGGTATATGCCACTCTGGATGGATATATTGGGTTTACTTCATGTCAGGTCAATGTTTATCTGGCTTGTGGCAAAGAGAAAGTGGAAAAGAATGATTCAGAGTATACTTGATCTGAAACAAAGAATAGTCACTAAAGCCATAAAAGTTGTGACATTTTTTTTGTCTTGCCAATATAGCATTAACTGAAGCCACTCTTCTTTAGTGATTTTTGGCAGCATTGATGAGATATCTGCTTCTCTGAAGTTAGAGTTTTATTCTTTTAAAATATTTAGCTACTGTTAAACAGACATATATACACAAGCTGACACACACAGCTAATCTGTCCAGTACTGTATAAAGTTTTGTGAACGGACCTATTTAATGCAATAAACAGAAATGTTTATGTAGAGTGAACTAGGGTCTTATTTGGGACGTGATACAGATTAGTTTTTTGGAGCACTGACTTGGGATCTAAAGAAACCTGGCTTTACCATTTAGCTATGTGACTCTGAGCAAGACATTGAAATTCTTTGAGTTTCAGTCTTCTGCAATACAGAGATTATAACATCTACCTCATAATATGATTGTCAGAATTTTATGAGTCAGTATCTATAACATGTAATGTGTAATATAAGGCTTAGCACTATGCCTCATAGATCCCCTAAGTGCTCAATAATAATAAAATAACTAATGTTCATTAACTCTTATCATAATGGTTCAATAAACAGTACCTATTATCATAATTTTATATGTGTAGGAAATACTTGTCAAATATCTTGTTAGTAGATACACACTAAGATACTGTTTTACATAAGTATAAAGCAATAATAAATATAATGATAAAATCCCGTAATGTTAATCTTAGAGTAATAATTTACTACTATGGAGAAACTGAGGAGGAAGAAATATTTTACTCTGATGTGATGAAAGCCGCCCAACGCTGGAATGAGTCAACTTTGGAATTCAAACATTCTCTGGAATGCTTTTAAGCATAGGCAGTGACCAGTTGGTGGGAATGTTGTGGAAGATATTTAAACATAAATGACTGACAAAGCCAAGTTCTCTTCCAACTCCGAGAGTAATACTTCATTCTCATTTCCACCAATCCCTTGATATCAATAATGGATTCCCCATCTTTCCTCAATAGGACAAAAGATGTAGAAAACTGTATCCCCAAACCTTCCTTTCAAAGAGCTGCAGAAAGAACTAGGTTCCAGTTTGTTCTACTTGGTGGAGACTTGACTTCCTTGGGCTCCTTGAATGTCAGGTGTAACTTGATCTGTTTCCTTTCTATTCAAAATTGGTTGTGTTTACTTACTTTTCTAAGCTGAGGTTTCTCAACCCTTGATAGGTAGGTGAAATATATAGTTCTACTGCTAGGGAAATGAGGCAAAAATACACCCATACAATAATCATTCCTCTTCTTCTATCCTGGCTGAAATAAGCCAAGAGACAAACAGCAAAATATCAAGCTAAAAAGCTTTCAAAAAAAAGCAACCCTGGGGGCAATGTTATCCTTCCTCATTTTACCAGAGACAGAATGGCTGATGTAATAATAATTTGAAGTTAGATTTAAAAATGTAGAGATGCATCAAAATATTAACACAAAGCAAATTAACTTTTAGGAGCTTTATGGTTTTAGAGGAAGGCATACTTTTCATCATAAGCAAAAAATAATAAGTTATCATTTTGGCTAACTTATTCCAGTATTTCTTTTTAGGACCCTTGTTAGAACAAATGTTTTTGGAACAACTTAGTTTCCATCTATTTAATTCTTTTCTGGGCACTGTGTCCAAAAGGATAAGATGTGTCCCTGATCCTCAGGGCCTTACTGTAGTCTAGTGCTTTGGAATCAAGACATTGCAGGCATGGAATTTAGGTTTTAATCTTAATGTGCTGCATACTTTCTGTGTAACCTAGAAAAATATCTTTAACTTCTCTGAGCTTCAGTTTTGTCATATTCATAATGAGATATAACAATATCTACTTAATAGTGCTGTTGTAAGAATTAAGGGGACAATGTATGTAAAGATGACACTATATATAATCTAATGTGTGTGGCCTTCAATACTTCTTAGCTACTTAGTGGGGAAATTACTTCACCTTTTCTGCCTCAGTTTCCTTATATGTAAAGTAGTGATAATAATTGTACCAACTGCACAAAGTTATTATAAATTAAGTAATACACATGTAGTGCTTAAAACAGTGTCTCGAACATGGTGTGTGTTCACTAAAGGCTGGCTGTTATTATTGTTGCTTTTGTTATTATAATTATCATTACCACCACTATTGGAGTTTCTGAGAAATAGGTTGTTCAGAATGATCAAAAGTAGAGTTTGAGCTTGTTCTTGAAAAATGTGGAAAAAAGAAGGTGATAGAAGAAAAGAGAGTAAAAACCCATTGATAAATGGACATAGCTGTTCTTGGGAACAGCCTGATTAGAGAAGTCAGGATGTCTTGGTGGGAAGCAATGTCAAGTCATTAATTTTAGGCTTAATTCTAAAGGGCTCAGTAAGTCGGGCAGAGGAATTCAAACTTAATTGTTGTAGACTGATTTTTTTCTTGCTTTTAAATGATTTTTTGTGTTACTCCTGTTTTTTCTCAATTCTATGTTGCTTGTTATTCTTATTTTCTTAATTATATGACTAAGATGCTATTACCTTTACATAATTAAACATTTTTTGAAGACTTATAAAGGAGGTATGAAAATTTCAAAGGTCTTTATTAAATTCATCTAAAAGCAGGAAAAAATGACCCATGATCCTCAGAGCCCAGTGAGTTTCATGTATTCTAAATTTAATTCACATTCTATGACTTTATCACTTTTTACTCATTTAAAAGTATCCTATTTGTAGACTTAATCACCTTATTAAGATCTGAAAAACATTTTTTATACTTTAACCCCACTACTGAAATACTTTCTTTTTGCCTATACAAGTTGGCACCATCTCAGTCTTAAAAGGAAAAATTCATCTCTAAAGCAATTTGCCGTGACAAATTTGAACACTTTGAGTCTTTTACCACCAATGTTTTAAACTTTTTATTTTACTGAAATTGCATCCTGAATCATGTAAGGTCCAAAATTACTAAGTAGCAAAACAGTAAAGCATGATTTTGCTAATACACATTTTGTATCATTAGGGCCTCATGGTATTATACCTATATGGATACCCCCAATTCATTGTTTTTCTTTACTTTTGGCCTGGCTATCATTCTCTAACCTTGATCCTGATGATCTTTTGTGAGCAATTTAATTGAAAGTCTACACTTGTATGTGCTTTGCCCATTGAACATACTAATAGGAGCTTTCTGGAATGAACCAAATGCACTATCTAATGGCAGGCTTATAGCTTCTTTCCTCTCTTCATAGCTCTATGGAGATAAAGCAACTACAATTTTGAGTGACCTTATGTGCCAGCAGTTCCCATCTGCTGTGGACTGAAATTACCATCTAAGTTCTTGCTATCTGAGGATCTGCAGGGTGGCCCTTGATCTGTCAACCAAACACAAGCAGTTAACACAAATCGCACACAATTTTAAAGGCAGACAGGATGGTAGAATCAGACTCTATTTGCCCATTCTTTTACCACTTTATAAAACTAAGCTGTTCCCATCTACTGCCCTCAGACAGAGAACTTTTTAAAATTCTAGCAAACCTGATCCTAGGAACTTGCCAGCAAAGTGTTATTCGTCTTATTCTTGTTAACCAATATTAATAATGAAGTGCATCTGAAACCAAGCTTCTTATGTGCAATAGGAATCTACATTTTCAGATCGAGTTCTTTCATCTTTTAAAATTAATGTTTTTATAATAATTATATGTCTATGGTGGAAAAATTTAAAAATGCACAAAAGAATAAGGAACAAAGTAGCAATTACCTAATGCTGATACCTACAGATATCTAGTATTAACCTTTTCCCATATTTTCTTTCAACCTAGAGGTTTTACTTTACACATCATTTTTAAATAACATTGTATTATAAATATATTCATTTAAAGGAGTATTTTAAAGTATTATTTTAATGAATTCATATTAGCTCATTATCTGAGTATACTGTAATTATATTAGTATGCTATAATTTATTCATTCATCTAATATTGGACATTGTACATTTAGTTTTTCAATTATTCAGAATAATAAATAGCCCTGTCGATATGTTAATTGGTCTCTCTAATTATTTCCTTAGGATAGGTATCTATGTTCATCTTTTAAGTTCTTAACAGTCTCTCAAATTGCTTTTCATGAAAACTGTAATACTCCCACCTATATGCTAATTTTATAAGTGGAAATTTATATCTTACTATTCCACTTCCTTTTAATTAAAATCTAGTTAGTACAGAGACAATTCTGGATGCAAATCAAGAAGAAAATAGTAGAAGATACAGTGACTTTGACTCTAATCTTGGTCCAGCCATGCAGAAAGGACACTGCTCATCGCTTCTACTGCAGTCTTCCTTCATCTGAGGTTTTGCCTGGTGGCCAAAGAGCTGCAAAGAGAAACATCTCTGTAAAAAGACTTCTTAGGGTGTAATAAGACCACAATTAACATATTTATTAGTACCTTTAGTTTATTAAGCCCCTTCACATCAATTGTCATAGTAGATTCTCAGAATAACCTTCTAAGGATGGTGTTTTCGTGGAGATGCTTGGGTTACTATTCTCCCAAGTTGCTGGGACCCTTCATTATCTCCAGTTTCTCTGACCATGTAAGTATTCTAGGCTGGCAAGTGATAGGTTAAGACTTGAAACCTAACTCCAAATATTATGCTCTTTCTGTTATTATTTCTATTATATCACAATCCCTATTACAAAGGAAGGTGTACTAAGAAGCAAAAATAACTTAAGCTTCAGGGACACCAATTGCATTGGTCCCTTCCAAGTTACCATGCCTAATTTTGTATTTGTAATTTTGTAACCTTTTTCTTAAAGAGAGCCCGCAGAGTGTATAGGCTTCAGAGTCCCACAAAACCCAGATCCACTGCTGCTCCACAGATAGCAGGACACTAAGAGCTTAAAAATAGCTGTTGGGGTTCTGGGATAGGTGATGGTTAAAAATTTCAAGGTGCTGTGAAACAGGTAATGTCATGTCTACCAAGAGGCCTCCATACACATTACTCTCAGTACCTTCCCTCTCTCAGATAACAGATCATCATTTTCTTCAGAAAAATCCTGGGTCATTTGCTTCCTCAAGGACACTACTTAGCTGATGAATCCAAAGCACTGAATCAGAACTCAAGGACTTTAAGGGCAAGGTGGGCAGAAAGAAGGCAGGACCCAAGTTGAGGACCTGAAAGAGAAGGCACAATTGAAGCCTGAGATGACATAAAATAAAATGGATCTTAGTGTTTAGTATTTTGAAAGACACAATATACACGGTGAGGACCCCTTATCTCAAATTATGAATAAATTAGAAATTGCATTAAACACTTTAAACCCAACGTGATGGGTTATTTATCTTTTCTTGTATGACTTGGCTTATTTTCATCTCAATTGGGCTGCCATCTGTGGTCAGATCCATCAGACAGGGGTTCAAAAACATCTTTTCGTACCATGAGCCCCTTTGAAATATGATGAAGTCTATAAACCCCTTTCTCAGAATAATGTTTTTAAATATGTAAAATAAATTATTTAGGATTGCAAAGGAAACCAATTATATTGAAATACAGTTATGGAAATAATTATGAAACAACTTCGTGATATAGTGAGATAGTGTTTATTTATTAATGTGTTAAAAATCCAGATCCAATAGTGGATCTGTAATCTGTCATAATTTCAGTGTAATGATGAGTATAAACCCTGAGATGTCTGCAACAGCTGTAATGTGATATGAAAATATCTGTGACTTCTGTTGATGATGAAGTCACAGATACAGCTAGTGTAGTTTGTTGCTGGCATTCATGTTTAAAGGAAATACTAAATTTTATTTAAATGTTTGTGAAAATAAAGATCTGACTTCCTCTCATTTATGTTCACAAAACCCTTGAATTTTATTCACAGATCCTTGCTGGTCAGTACAGATGTGATCTCAAATTTCTAGTTGCTTGGTGCAGGTAATAAAAGCTCCTGTTATGGGCTGAGTTGGGTCCCCCCAAAGTTTATATGTTGAAATTCTAACCCCTAGTACCACAGAATGTGACTGTATTTGGAGACAGGACCTTTAAAGAGGTAATTAAGGTAAAATGAGGTCATATGGGTGGGTCCTGACCCAGTATGTCTGGTGTCCTTATAAGATAAGGAAATTTGGACCCAGGCATACACAAAGGGAAGACCATCCGAAGATATTGGAAGAAGATGGCTGTCCATATGCCAAGGAGAGAGTCTTTAGAAGAAACCAACCCTGCTAACACCTTGATCTCAGATTTCTAGCCTCCAGAATTGTAAAAATAATAAATTTCTATTTAAGCCACCCAGACTGTGGTACTTTGTTATGGTAGCCCTAGCAAACTAATGTAGACCTGAGCCAGTCCTCCAAGAGTAGAGGAACTACATTGAGGTGTCTGCCTTCTAGTTGATTGGAAATGAAATGTTTAAGAGCATGGTTCTGAGTTAAAAGCAAAGACTTAAACCTAGTGTGGAATCCCCATTTTCATTCTTACTATCACTGTGATGTTAGCTTTGTCATCAACCTTCTACAAGTCCCAATTTCCTCATGTATACACGGAAAATGCTAACAGAACCTGCCTCAAAGAATTTTTATGAGGATTAGATGAAATAATCTACTTAATGCACTTGGAATGAAGTCTGGAAAATAGTAAATCCTTAATATGATGTTGATAACCATGAAGAAGATGAAAAATCACCCTCCTTCCTCTCTTCTCCAAAACTCCATCTTAGCAAAGGAGAAATGTGGAGAGCTCTTTTGTGGCATTCTGGTATGGTAGAGGGAGTGAGTAAGTATAAGACTTTTTCTCAGAGCCTGCTTTTATTAATATCTATTCTATTCCTTATCACCAGAACTTCCACTAATAATAAATGATAACATCAAATTACTTTCTTTCCTTATTTCATTCATTCAACATATATTCAGTATGTAATTTCTCTGTGCCAGTCACTTTGCTAGATGATGGGCATATATAAAAACTACCTCTTGGCTGTGTAGTGGACAAGGTGGATATGATCCTTGTCTTTGCAAGATTCATGACTGTGAAAGATATGAAGAGCATGTCATATAAATAGTCCTTTAAAATATTTAGAAGATTATCCTGGAGAAGGGATGACAAGGGGAAACACCCACACATTACCTGCACCACAGAAGCCCTCCTCCCACGTTCCCTTCCAGTTGCACATTTCCCCTCACCTATCAAAGATTAATTTTACCTATATGGAAACTTTATGTAGGTGGAGCCATACAGTACGTCCTCTTTTGCCTCTAGCTTCTTTCACTCAAACTTATGTCAGTGAGATATATCCATGTTGCTGTGTGTAGTTTTAATTTGCTCACTTTCAAAGCCATATAGTATTCCATTGTGTGAATGTATTACTATATATATATATTGTTTTGTTGTTGTTGTTGTTGTTTTTTTTTTTGAGACAGAGTCTTGCTCTGTCGCCCAGGCTGGAGTGCAGTGGCGCAATCTCGGCTCACTGCAAGCTCCTCCTTCTGGGTTTGTGCCATTCTCCTGCCTCAGCCTCCCAAGTTGCTGGGACTGCAGGCGCCCGCCACCATGCCCGGCTAATTTTTTATATTTTTAGTAGAGGCGGGGTTTCACCATGTTAGCCAAGATAGTCTTGATCTCTCGACCTCGTGATTCACCCGCCTCGGCCTCCCAAAGTGCTGGGATTACAGGCGTGAACCACTGCGCCCGGCCTATTTATCCACTACACTGATAATGGACATTAGAATTGTTTCAAGTTGAGGATATTAAGTCTAGTGCGACTACAAGCATACTTTTTTAAAGTTAATTTTTAAATTGTGGTGAAACATACATAACAAAATTTATCATTTTAACCATTTTAAGTGTACAATTCAGCAACGTTAAGCACCCTCACAATGTTGTGCAACCCTCACAACTATTCATTTCCAGAAATTTTTCATCAACCCAAACAGAAACTCTCTGTAACCCTTAAACAATAACTCTGCATTTCTCATCCCAGCCCCTGGTAACCTCTATTATGCTTTCTGTCTCTATGAATTTGACTACTCTATATACCTTATATAAGTGGAATCATACAATATTTGTCCTTTTGTGACTGGCTTATTTCATTTGGGATAATGTTTACAAGATTCATCAATGTCGCATGCATCAGAACTTCATTTCTACTATAAGCATCCTCTTATACATCTTTTGGTGAACACATGTATTAATTTCTGTTGGGACACAGGAATGGGATTGCTGTGTCATATATCTTGCAATATTTTCCCAAGGCTAGTGCAATCTGCTTTACTTCTCTTTAGACTTACCTCCTCATCATACCCTCTCTCCCTTAGCTTTTGTTCTTTGCTTTCGGTCTACAACCATCTCAATACTCCTCCTATATGAAAACTTTTTCTGTAGCTGTCTCCTTTTCAACCTACTGGACCATTTCCTTCTTCTTCTTCTAACATATATACAGTTGAAAAAACAATAAAATGAACATCATATGCTCAGCTCAAGAAACGGAATGTTAGCAGTATCATAGAATCCCTTACATATACCTGCCTATTTACATCCTCCTCCTTCTCCTCCTCAGAGAGATAGCTACTATCCTGAATTTTGTCTAATCACTTCTTTGTTTTTCTTTATAGTTTGGAACTTACATATCCCTAAGCAATCTATTGTTTACTTTCGTCTGTTTTTGAATTAGAAAAGGGAGCTGGAGTATTTATAGTTTTGTACTTGTCAGTCATTAGCTAAGGAATGCCCCTAAGGGACGTCAATTCACAGGTCCTTCCTGATCTCCATGAGAACAGGCGAAAGAAAGGCTCTGGAAGCCCTCAGACCAACAGAAATGCCGGTGCTGGCTGTTTAGAGGAAAGCACATTGGGGGCTGGTATGTATGAAAATGGTAAAGGATGAAAGAAATGTAGGTGTCTGCTTTATCTGTTGACTATGATAGCTTCCTAAGTGAGGTTTCCTGCCTTAGTTTCTCTCCCATACCATCCATTTTCCACTTACAATTACTCCCTCATTCAAATACTCAACAAATATTTATTGAATACTTATGACTTGGAAGGCATGGTCCTTGCCTTACAGATCTTATAGTTTAGCAGAGCAGCAGACTCTGGGCAAATAATTACAGCTGGGATGCAAGGAATGAGTAGAAAGTAGGATCAGGGTATTATGGGAGCATATGTCTAGAGAAAGGCTACCCAGGATAGTGATACTTCAATGGAGTCTTGAACAAGTTGTCTAATCAAAAGACCAAAGAAAGGAGGCGGGAGTGAGGGATGAGAGTGGAGGAAGCACATTCTAGGTAGAGGGTACCTTTTGTGCCAAATTTCAGAGTCTAAAGAGAGTACTCTAAAGAACGGAAAGCACCAAACTCAATGCCTTGGTTGCCTGGAGGAACATTCTCAAAAAATTGTGTCACCAATAAAACTTCTATGAAGTGGTCTGTGGCTAGAATGAGGTTTGAGAAATGGTTGGGAAGTTAGAGCATTCAGGGATCTGAATTAAGAGAAGTGAACAGAGGCATCAACTTGAGCAATGTTTAAAAAACTGTTCCTTTTTTCATTGAATTAGAAGAGGCATAATCTATAGAACTAGCATTCTGTAATGAAATGATTTTATATGTAATCTATATGTTTGGCCAGTATCTGAAATGTGGCCTGTCTGTAAGGAAGGAAGATCAATTACCAAGTTAATTATTTAGGCCTCTGGTCACTAGTCTAATCACTTTGCATCATTTCTTGATTTGAAACCACAACTTCTTCCTCTTTTAGAGTCATCATTATCTGTCACTGAATGCATTTGGATTTCAATACGAATTTTGGATTTCATATATTTTATGTGCCATATGAGGTATTGAAGCTTATTACATTTTAATACACTAAACTTCATGTCAAAGTAAATAGTGTTGCTTTGATATCAAATGTACATTTGTATGTTATCTCAGTAGCACCTCAAATTTCCTCACTCCCTTACCCATCACTTGATCAGCCTGGATGATCTCCACCTGTGGGTCAACTCCATTATGCATTTTCTTACCTTCTCAAGACTTACAAGTATTTTTTGAGAAATCCATGTAACCTTGATGATTTATTGCACTTAAATTTTTTTATATGATCTCAAGTGAACATTATTTTACTCTTTCGTTTTGACTCCCTTAATCCATTTCTTACCCACATTTTTCCAATTCTACTTTTTTGCTTTCCTCAAGTTCCCCTCACTACTTTTCCACCACATATCTCAGCCCTGTCTGACACAAAAATATTTTTTCCGAAGAGGTGGAAGTCAGCTGCGGGTCTGCAACAGCAGCGAACAGCAGTGGTGTACAGCGAGTGAAAGCTCAGCTTGAGCTGGAACAAACATGGACCAGAAGAGTGTGCAGTTGCAAGATTTAATAGAGTGAAAACAGAGCTCCCATACAACAGGAGGGGACCCAAAGAGGGTTGCCACTGCCAGCTCGAATGCCTGGGTTTATATCCTGATCATTGTGCCTCCCCCTGTGCTCTCAGGCGATAGATGATTGAATATTTCTTTGCCTCCTGCTTTTAGCCTAATTGGTATTTTAGTGAGCTCTCTTTACTACCTGATTGGTCGGGTGTGAGCTGAGTTACAAGCCCTGTGTTTAAAGTTGGGTGCGGTCACCTTCCCCAGCTAGGCTTAGGAATTCTTAGTCGGCCTAGGAAATCCAGCCAGTCCTGTCTCTCACTGTGAGAATAGTCTATACTTACCTTCTCTGTGTCTACTTCCAAGTCTCTTTTCAACCCACATCAAACTTGTATCCCTCAAATCTGTTTCCACTCACTGTACTGTTTCCTGTCAATATGCCACTTGAGCACTTGCTGCCTCTGTAGCCTAACATCCCACTCACTCTTCAAGCCATTTCACTGTTATGCTGAAATACCACCATGGCTCTTAACCTTGGCTACACACTGGAACTACTTGGGAAGCTTTTAAAAGTCCCAATCCCCAATCCCCAGACAAGTTAAAACAGAAACTTTGGGAGTGGGACCTAGGCATTAGCAGTTTCTATATCTCCCTAGGTTATTACAATGTGCAGCCAGGGTTAAGAACCACCAAACTAAGGTCTTATCTTTGGCATCTATGTCCTTTTCTAAAGCTTCTGACAGGGAAGCAGTGTAATGTTGGAATCAGACAAATCTGAGTTTGAATTCTGTTCACACCACTTATTATTTATGTGACTTTCAGAAAGTTATTTAATATCTATGCATCAAATTTTTCTCATGTGTTAATCCAGGATAGCAATATGTAACTCAGTTTTTGTAAATATTAAATGAATTAGCTTATGTAAAATACTCAGCACATAGCAGGCCCTCAGGATATGTGTTTTCTATGGCTCTCTGACTGCTCTTTACTTTCTCCCACAGATGCTAAGTGTTCCTGCTTCATTCTCCCACAAAAATGATGCTATTCCCTTCCTCCCTCTTTTCTCTGCCTATGTCTGTATTTTCTCCCTTAGCTTTAATTTTCAGTCCCAGTCAAATGATTCCCCTGTCTAATTATCTAGATCAACTTTCCTCTTGTGCTGTGTGCTCATTTTCCAAGTCTTTGTCAGACATCTGGTGTATGTCTGTAGCACCCAGGGTTCTTATTTTGCAAACCACAGAAACTGACTCTTAAACAGAAAAGCAAACTATTGAAAATACAATGGCTATCTTCCAGTATCCCTGGGAAAGGTAGAGAAAAATGTTCAGGTTGAAAAACAAGCAAACTATAGGGAGGTTACATAGCTGGGACTTTGGTCAAAGTCACTCAGCAGAACCAGTGCTGTGAAGACAACGCAGCTACCACCACTGAGACTGCAGTGGAGACTGCAGCTTCTAATGGACGTTGAATCTTGATGCTGCCATTGTCTTTAAAAGAATTCTCCCTTGGTTTTGCATTTTTGCATAAGTAACTCCAGATTCAAATCTTCGTTGTGCAGATTTGTCTATTTGACCAAAGCTAGGTCTCTCAACTGTACTCTAGCAGCAAGAAAGGCAGGAAAGCAAGTATTTGGCCTTTCTTACTTCTATAATGGGAAGTGGGAAGTGGACTCTACCTTCCAACAAAACTTATACAATGGAGAAATTATTCAGTGTGGGGTGGGTGCTCAAAAATGCCAAATGTCCAAATGTCCACTACAATATCCTACCAATATCTCAAACTATGTGACCCAACCAATCTACTTCCAACCCCCTCTATCCACTCAAACTGAACTTGCCAGTTGGTTTCATTACTCGGTAAATATCACAACTTTCTGATAGTTCTTAAGTAATTTCCATACTCCATAGGTTTGCTTCTCTTTTTCCTTAGGCTGGATTCTACTCCTTCAACCTTCTGTATCTATATACCTCCACACTGAATGCGCATGATAGAAGTGTTCTTATCCTTAAAGATTCATCTCAAAAGTCACCTCCTCCATGAACCTTCCCTGATCCTTTAATCAGGATGATTTCTCCTTCCTCTGTGCTTCCACAGCACTACATTTTACCCTTATTTAGTAGTTTATATGGGGTTCCTTACTATACTGTTAATTCTGAAATCAGGGACACATTATATTTATCTTTGCCTCCTTATCATCTCAACCCAATGCCTTGCACTTGTGACTCAAAATATAATTTGTTAGTTGAAGTGCTTCATGCTAAATTCTTTCCTACCATAGATAATTGCACATATCACCAAGTAGAAGATACCATTAAATATAAGATGCATTGTTGTTTTGTGTACTACTAACAAAGAAAAATGATGCCAATAAAAACCATTAGACCATTGATATAAGATGCATCCTGATTTCAGAGATGTAAAAATGTTTTTTAAAAAGTGCACCTTAGGCCAGGCACAGTGGCTTATGCCTGTAATCCCAACACTTTGGTAGGCCAAGGCAGGAGGAATGCTTGAGCCCAGGAGTTCGAGTTCGGCTTGGGCAACATAGTGAGACCCTAATCTCTAAAAACATAAAGTGCACCTTAGAATTGATGAAACACAGTAGTTATCACTATGGTTTAATAGCAATACAATTTATTCTACAAGGCCATTAGTTATGAATAATTTGCAGTATATTAAAAAATAGAAAAAATTATTTTGTGTTGGGTTATCTCAAACTCTATAGCCTGGATACTCACACTAATCCACTTATACTTCATTTATTTTTGATGCTTATGCATTTGACAAACGTTTTCTCTGTTGCCAGAGATATTTTCTTTAAGTATTATAATCTTATGATACTCTTTAGGTAATTATGGCTTGCATCTAAAATTTATGAGGCTACATTTAAATCACACGATTCAAATGTCAGGGTTGTGACATTAAAGAGGTAGGCTATCACACTTGTTTTTGCCTTTTTCTGACCCTCTTTCATTTGATGTTCTGGGAGGGCCTCGTGAAAGAAGTATAGGGCTCCTGACTCCTGACCTGGTATACTGGGCAGCAAAGAAGAGAGGAGTCCCTGTGCAAACGGCTAGTCAAAGAAGTTCTGACATGGACAAGTTTCCTAGGAGAAATCACCTCATCAAGAAATCTGCAAATAGTATATTTTGTTCTAGGTAAAAAGAAAATATTGCCCAGAGTGAAATCTGTTGCTTCTAACTTGGCTTAGTTTAGGCTGCTGTTGATCATGCCTCTGACAGTCTCAATTTCACACAGATGATAAGAGCTATGCAGCTATTTCAGCTCAATTTATCAAGAGCACTGAAACAGGAAAGAGATGAATGAATGGCGATATATTCATTAAAAATGTTTTTAAAAATATATCCTGTTTCTTGCTGTGTGGTTTTGCTTCAAAAATATGAACAAATGGAAACATTTTCAACTTAATGTTCTCTTTTTTTCCCTTTGCCAGAGGCCAAATCTAATGTATTCCACAAATGCTTTTCACCAAGTAAATAAGGCAGCATCCTGTCCAGAGTTCCTCTCCTCCAGGGGTGGGGAAAGGGAATTTATCAGCCCTGTGTCCATTCCATCCCCCATCCCTCCCACACTGATACTTAAAATAACTGTGGAGTCATTGTCCCAGAGGCTCCCTCAGCCAGCAAGGTTTCATAACAAGGCAAGTGGGGAGCAAGCTCTTCTGGGTGAAAATGAAGCTTCACTGCTTATGTTTTCTTTCGCCATAACCATTTTGTCATTTAAAAAACCTGAGGCTACTCGGAGGCTTGGTTTTCTTGAAGGTTTATGTGAATGTGCTCAGTGGATATGTTAGCTAAAGCTAATTTAGCCAAAATGCCATATATGTTTTGGGAAGAAAAGGAAGTCTTTTATAAAAAGACAAATTTCCCCTGAAAGTATTGACATTTTATTTCATTATTTAAATTCAACCACCAGTTTCTAGACCCTCAAACTGACATTTATTTTGCCTGATTTCCCCTTCACCGGAAAGAGAAAACACTAAAGCCACTCTCTACACTTTCACAAGCAGCTTTCACAAGGGTAATAGCTGTTGACATCTGCTTAAATTTGGGAATAATTTGTTCCTTACATAACAATATTTCAGAAAGCACCAGAGTACAGGAGAGAGTGTGTTCGTCAACAAGAAGGCTTTTAGTGTGGGAATAAATTATTAAAATCGCATTGCTTTTTGATGCCCAGAGGACAAAATTAAAAAGGTGGGGGGCTGGGGAATGACTAAAATGGGCTAGAGAATTAAGGGCCCTAGGCTTCAGTTAGAAAACATCTTGGGTGCAATCTGTTATTTTGGGAGCATTAAACTCTGATTTATGGTTAACACATAAGAGTTCATGTGATTTGATATTTTCAGCTCTGTAACTGCCATATCTTCAAAAAAGTCTATAGACCAGTGTTTCTCCAAGTGTGGCCCAAGAGCAGCAGCATCAGCATCACTTGGGAACTTGTTAGAAATGCACACTCTCAGCCCTTACCTCATATCTGATAAATCAAAAACTCTGGGGATGGAGCCCAGCAATCTGTATTTTAACAAGGACTACAGGTTTTTCTGGTGTACCCGAAAGTTTGAGAACCATGGCTCTAAGACAATGGTCTTGCCTAAATAATTTTCCTAAAGAACATATTCTTACTCCTCCATGTTGATAATGTAAAACTGGTTTATCAGGTAAATAATTTTTTTGTCTGTTCCTGTCACATGCATTCACAAACAAGTACCACTGTGAAGTAGTCAAGTGCATGAAGTTTAAAGTCATCTGTATATGCAGACAGTAGAAATCCTACTTAGTGTTTTGTTTTACATTATTCTAATGCTTGTCCATATCACAAATAAGTTATTTGGCAAATCTGAGGCAAGCACACCAATTGCAAGCTTAAGCATCCTGGATGATGGAGGCCATCCTGAATTTAGCCACTCCCATACATGCAATTTATCCTCCAGCGTTTGCACCTTTGTTTATACTGTTCCCTTTGGCTGAAATACCATTTCTCCCTTTCTTTACCTGCCTTACTCTTACTTCTTCAGTCCTGAAGAAGTCCTTTTCTCATCACCTAAACTGGCATCTTGTTCTTAGCTTGCTCTTAACTTGTAGCACATGTGGTATTATAATTATTTTTTCTCTCTACCTACTGGCTTAGATGCTACTTGAGTGGGGGGTTGTCTTTAAATGCTGTATACCTCAGTACCTAGCACAGTACCTGGCTCATGTTGGGGCTTAATAACATTCTGAATCAACGAATTAATTAAGAACCACTTCCTCAATATATGGGCAAATTTGTCAATGCTCAAAAAGAAATTAAAATGTTAACTGTGCTCTCAAATATTACCCCATCGGATAATTTCTCTCCTTTAGTTTTATTTTTTGTTCATTAAAGAATAAAACAGCACAGAGATTATGTCAGCAGTGCATTGTGTTTTATATGGAATGTTCAGCAGACATAAATGAAGGGTTAATAGATTTCTAAGAAAGCTAATTTCAAATGACTTTTTTTTTTCCGCAGAACTGTCATACCCTGTTGTTTCATTCTATAGAATCGCATTCATCTACCTCAGGCTAAATGTGCATATCAGAAATATTTTACAATTTTAAACAGCAGGAAAAGTAATGAATATTTCAAAAGGAAATTGAAGGCAGGGATATAATCCTAGTACCAAGTAAGGTGCTTGAATGGATGAAGGATTAATGCTGGTTGCTTGGAAGCTAGATAAAATGTAGGAAAACTCAGTCTAATAAAAAAAATTAAAGAAATGAGCAAAGTTGGATGAGATAAATTATTGAAATGATGTAAAAGAGCTTAGAGGTTCAGATGTCACTGACTGTGCTATTCATTGCTAAATATGTTGGGAAAACCTGCTATGGTGAATACATAGAAATAATTTGTGTGGTTAGTTCCAAAATATTCCCAACTCAATATTGCATTTCCAGTTTTTTGGTCCTTCAGCTCTAGTGGATTAGAAGACATCTTTCTCTTGGTCAGGTATGTGTCCAAATGAGTGTGAACTAATTGGCAAAATAGACATTTTTTTCAGGACACTGAACACAAATACTAATGGACAAGAAGAACTGGCAGTGCTGCTTCTGAGGTCATGTTGGGAAATCTGCTCTTAAAACAAATCCAAGACCAAATTTAAAGGGTTGTCCACGTTCTTTCTTGAAATAATAGTGTTGGTTTAAAAGATAGCATACAAAGAGGGACAGCCTGGATGGCATAGTGTGAGGAAACATAGGGAATAAAACTACTGAATTTTGATATTTCCAGCTCTTTATTGCCAATATTCTTGGGTGATAAACTTGGGAAAGCCCATTGACAAAGAAGTGATTGTATTAAAAGGAAACAGAAAGTTTTTGTGTGAACACTTAATATTAAAGCTAGGACTCACATTTAGAAGTTTAAGAATGATTCTGGCTTTCTGTCTTTATTGTGTAGGACATCACTCAGAGAAACTTGTCCTGTTAATTCAAAGATAGTGTTCATATCCAATCCCTGCTAAGAATCATAAGAATTTAACTCATTGTACCAGAACTAGAGAAATAAAAAGGGACAGTTTTATCAGAAGACTAGCTTATTTGGAAATAAATCTTTCAAATCAGAGCATTTTATTCCATGGAGACACCTCAGCCTGCTAAGGCAAATTTTGGCCTTAGCTAGATTCTATTGACAGTCACCTGTCACTGCCACTATGTTTCTTCTCCATAACTTGTGACTACCTACTCTTGGTAAACAGAATATAAACCTGCTCATGAAAATCCAGAGTCACTCTGTATTCAGCACTGTCATCTCCTACACTTTTTCCCACACTCTAACCTAGATATCCTTAGGGGACTAGGGGTTTGAAACTTAGCACACCGTTTTTGACTCAAGCCCTGTCATAATATTTTGAAACATAGGAAACAAAGGTTGACATAGGGAGTCAACGTCTATGTGTTAGATATCAAAGAAGAGGTGACAGAAAGCATTACAGGTTTAGAGAGAGGAGATTTCATTTACATTTGATTGCCCTAAATGTGTGATCAAATTAAACAAATGAGAACAAGCACCGCTAAAATAAAAAGCTTGTTTATATGACTGTTTAAAACCAAATGGGTTCACTATTTAGGACATGACTTTATCAAAATATGAAGACTCAATGACTTTAAGGAAATTAGAATTTGACTTATTCCATGGTCTAACCTGACTGGTACATGATAAATGAATTTTTTGACAGGTTTATTCCTTCAGCTGTTTTGAGTTTAATTGGGGTCTTCTGTATAAACCATGGACAGCTTTGGGAAATGTGGCTGATATTTATAGAACACCCCAAGCCTACACTGTACTTTCAATAGAACTTAAATTGGACTATATCTCTAACACTATCAGCTCTGGGCTCTTTTTGAAGGAAGGAAAAACTCTGCATTTTTTTTCCTTGTGTTTGTAATATTAGAAAATGAAAATAAGCTCTAAAATGCATTATGATTTACTGAAATAGGAGGGAGAAAAAGAAAGGAAACAAAGTAGAATAATGGATTTTTGAGTGTTTTTTTCCTAAGAAAATGCAGTACAACTAAATAACACAGAACAAAAGTGTTACAACAGGCTCCTGTGTGAGATGTTCGGAGGGAAAACTGAAGATTAGAGAACAACCAGACACTGAGTATGAGAGTGCTTTCTTTGGGAAAGTCTAAAAGATCAAGGAAAAAGAGTGAGTCATGTAGAGATGTGAGATATATTTGTGGAGGTAGAGGATGAGAGGTCTATGAAGAATAAGACAACAGTATTAGGCTGTGGGAATGTCGGGAAAATAAGACACGGTCAGAACTGGGCAAAGAGAAAAGTGAAGAGGAAAACACCAAGGGAAGAGGTGGGTGTAGAGGAGGAGGTGGTAATGATGAAGCTTACTCACAGAGTACATTTGTAAATATAAAAGCATTTTAATAATCAGTATGGAGAGTATTCTCTGTGGGATCAGAGACAAGATAGCATGTGCTTCACATAGACAAACACACCTTTGATCATGGCAGGTCTCTAACTAGAATATTCTAGTTGAATATCTTCATGTACTTCTGTACAGGACCACCAGATTAGGCAAGAGAGAGCTGAAGATGGGAAAAGGGCTGAAGCCCACAAGGCCTGAAGTCTCAGCCCTATTATGGCAAAGAGTTTCCTTGATTCCCATTAGAAAACTTTGCACAAGGCTCTAAATGTTTCTAAGAGTATCTGGGAAGTACAATAACAAAAGCGCCATAACTAGTAAATCTGACATGAGGTTCCAGAGAAACCTCAACAAATATCAATTTGGAAGAGAATGAAGATTAAAATCTATGCTCAAATGCTCAGAGCCTTATTTAAATGTTATGTTAATGTTATAAATTCTTGGTTTTATATATGAAACCTGGACTTGTAATGATAACTGACTTGGGGAAAGACTACACTTTGCTTTCTATGAAGCAGGATGATTATCATACCCCTCTGTCATCATTACTGCCCTCCCACACCCAAGTAGGAATGCTTGTTACAGCATTGTATGTGAGCGGAAAAACTTTTATAACATACTGTGCAGGAGGAATTCTCATAAGCTTGACTCAGACATCATTACTAAACATTGAACCTGAAGTTTATCACATGTATTAGTCCATTCTCACATTGCTATAAAAACCACCTGAGACGAGGTAATTTATGAAGAAAAGAGGTTTAATTGACTCACAGTTCCACCAGCTGTATAGGAAGCAGGGTTGGGGAGACCTCAGGAAACTTAGATCATGGTGGAGGGGGAAGCAAGCACCTTCTTCACATGGCAAAGCGGGAGAGAGAGAACAAAGGGGGAAGTGCTACACTCTTTTAAACAACCAGACCTCATGAGAACTCACTATCACGAGAACAGCAAGGGGGAATTCCACCCCCATGATCCAATCACCTCCAACCAGGTCCCTGTCCTAACACTGGGAATTACAATTCAACATGAAATTTAGGTGGGGACACAGAGCCAAACCATATCATCACAATTATTTGCTCACTTTCTTTTCTTCTTCTCTTTCTTCCTCCCTCCTCTCCCTTTATTCCTTTCTCTCTACCTTCCCCAGACCCTCAAAATAATAATCTCTAGGGGTGGATCCCAGGGATTTGTATTTTGTAAACACCCCCATGATGCTGATGCAGTCAGACCAGTCCTGGGCTTATGAGCATCCTTAGAGTATATTCACAACCTCATTCTTATACAAATCTCTAATGTTTCTAAACAAGACCTGGCCTTCTGTGTTGGTGGCTGAGTAATTATAGATTGTTTCAAGGGTGGGGGAAGAGCACTCCACTTCCACATATTTCCCATATCCTTGGATTGATTTTTAAAATACATTTGGCAGTGGACAAGACGTTTTCAATTCACATCAAGTAAAGACGTTATATATTGTTTTAATTTTAGTATGTCTAAGGTGTAAATGATTTATATAAGGCAATTTAGTAAGAACATGTAAGCAGAGAGAGAGGAATAAGTTGCCTGATCTGCCATGATGGAGAAAAGGAGCATGATATCCAAGAGGAAATGGGAAAATGTTGTTATATTCTTCACAATCCCTATAAGGATTGAGCTTACTCAAAAGCTGATCATTTACCTATTTTTAAATAGAGGATGGATGTTAGAATAAGCCTAAGAGACACACTTGAAAATGTTAATGCTAAACATACTTTGCAGTTGCAAAATCGAACAATTTTACAAGACCTTAACAGAAAGGCAGGAAAGCAAAAGGCTGAAATACATACATTTTTAAGATATCCCTTTCCAAAATGGCTATGTTGGATATGGCACAAAATGCCCGATACATAGCCACAGGATGAATAAAAGATGAATTTATTGTAAATGGCTTAGAGATGGATAGATGATACTCACATAATGACATAGATTTGTACATAGTGATGGACAGTAGTTGATTTTTTTGAAATCTGATAATGCCAACACTTATGAAATAAGTAGTTTTATGTTAATTTTGAATTCTTCAAATTTGGGCAGTTTTTTTTTCAAAGAATAAAAGACATTTTCTATTATTAGTATGACCACAGAATGAGACAGCAATCACATTCTTTTTCTCCCAGAATCTGGGTGCTTTTCATCATTGCCAAACCTGAAAACTGAAAATCTCATAAAAATGAATTTAAATATTTACTTCAAATTGCTATACCATGGATGAATTCCAATTAGCCCTCTTTTTCTACTTGATAATTAAGAAATAGCATTGCAGGTGGGGGATAAGGGGACATAATATAATTCTGGGCAGTGGCCCGAAAAAAAAGTGCAAAAATTATATTCAGTTCAGATTTACAGTTTTACCATCTGTGTTTCATGATTAGATCTAGCCTTACTTCAAGAAGGGGGATTATATCACATAACTCTTAAAAGCCATTTTCAGAGTTTTTGGTATTCTCTTAATCAGGTGCTTAAGCATTTGAACATTGAAACACAAGTAAACATTGAAAAAATGGAATAAGGAAGGCTTTGAGAAGACTGGATAGCTCTCCTCAAATATGCAAAAGATTGGCACGTGAAAAAGAACATAACCTTGAACTAGCTCTAGATAATTGAACTACAATGCAAAGTTTTATGTTACATGAAAGAATAGTTCTATGGAATACAAGTAAGAACTAGCTCACAGGTAGCACCTTCCTCGGTTGAAATAGGTTGTCATGGCCGGGTGCAGTGGCTCACGCCTGTATTCCCAACACTTTGGGAGGCTGAGGTAGGCTGATCACTTGAAGCCAGGAGTTCGAGACCAGCTTGGCCAACATGGTGAAACACCATCTCTACTAAAAATACAAAAATTAGCTGGGTGTGTTAGCTTGCACCTGTATCCTAGCTACTCGGGAGGCTGAGGTGGAGGATGGTTTGAACCTGAGAAGCAGAGGTTGCAGTGAGCTGAGATCGCACCACTACACTCCATCCTGGGAGACAGAGTGAGACTCCATCTCAAAAAAAAAAAAAAAAAAAGGAAAAGGAAATAGGTTGTCATGTTAATATTAAGCATTATTTTCCTGGAATTATGTAAGCAGAGTCTGATGGTTGTCTGTCAATGATGTAGAAGACTGTACTGGGTGACCTTTCAGATAACTTCTGAGCTAAGGCTGGAAGGGAAACTGACAGAATGTGGTATTATCTTAGGCCGGGTTGCACCAGAATTAGATTCTCAGGCAAGGATTTAAATGCAAATGGTGTTTTCAGGAGGTGATTCCAGAAGCATCAGTAAGGCGGGGTGTGAATTTTGCTGGGGACCTCTGGAACACTTCTCAGAATTTTTCTACCCAAGAAGTGAGGAAGTAGGAGTATCTGTTCTCCACTCTCATTCCACATTGATTGAGGACCGTTCTCTGTAACATTAAATTCTTAGTATTCCTGGCCTGCCATGTGCAGGTGGAGAATTATGGGTGCTTACAGGAGAATGCTGCTGGTGTGCATGGAATAGTTGGTAAGGTGCCAAAGGGATATGCCTGGGGACATATCTGCCATAGTTGTAGAGCACTGACTATGGAGTTAGACTAATCTGGATTTGATGCTTACTTCTCCTTTTTGGCTTCAGACAACTTAAGTACCCTCTCTGGGTCTGTTTTCTTATCTGCAAGTCAGAGATGACATAGATACCAAACAGTGTTTTTGTTGAAATTAAATAAGTTAAAGGACCTAACACATACAAGAAACTAAAAAGATAGCTTTTGTTATTAAAATAATAAATTATTGCTTCTCAGATCTAAAATGAGCCCAATCCAGAGACAGTAAGACAATAAAGTTTTTAATGTTGGCAAAAGACTTTATGGATAATAGACATGATAAGGAAAAAAATTTTAAGCTGCTGATATGGTTTGGCTCTGTGTCCACACCCAAATCTCATCTTGAATTGTAATCCCCATATGTTGAAGGAGGGAGCTGGTGGGAGGTGATTGGATCATGAGGGCCATTTCCCCCATGCTGTTCTTGTGATAATGAGGGTGTTCTCATGAAATCTGATGATTCTAAAAGTGGCAGTTTCCCCTGTGTACTCTCTCCTGCTGCCTTGTGAAGAAGGTGCCTTCTTCCCCTTTGCCTTCCACCATGATTATACGCTTCCTGAGGCCTCTCCAGCCATGCAAAATCATGAGTCAATTAAAACCTCTTTTGTTTATAAATTACCCAGTCTCAGGTAATATCTTTATAACAGTGTGAAAACGAACTAATACAGAGAATTGGCACCAAGAGTGGGGTACTGCTATGAAGATAACCAGAAAATGTAGAAGCAACTTTGGAAAAGGGTAACAGGCAGAGGTTGGAACAGTTTGGAGGGCTCAGAAGAAGACAGGAAGATGTGGGAACATTTCGAACTTCCTCAAGACTCATTGAATAGTTTTGACCAAAATGCTGATAGTGATATGAACAATGAAGTCCAGGTTGAAGTGGTCTCAGATGCAGATGAGGAACTTATTGGGAACTGGAGTAAAGGTCCCTCATGCTATGCTTTAGCAAAGAGACTGGTGGCATTTTGCCCCTACCCTATGGATCTGTGAAACTTTGACCTTGAGAGAGGTGATTTAGAGTATCTGGCAGAAGAAATTTCTAAGCAGCAAAGCATTCAAGATGTGACCTGACTTATTCTGAAAGCATTCAGTTATATGTGTTCACAAAGAGATGGTTTGAAATTGGAACTTATGTTTAAAAGAGAAGCAGAGCATAAAAGTTTGAAAAATTTGCAACCTGACCATGTTCTAGAAAAGAAAAATCTATTTTCTGTGGAGGAATTCAAGCCAGCTGCACAAACTGGCATAAGTAACAAGGAGCTGAATGTTAATAGCCAAGTCTCATCTTAAATTGTAATCCCCACATGTTGAAGTTCCTCCTTCAACATGTGGGGATTACAATTATAATTATAAACAGGTCTCCATGTTAGAGACCTTCACAGCAGCCCCTTCCATCACAGGCCCAGAGGAATCTCCACCTAGATTTCAGAGGATGTATAGAAATGACTGGATGTCCCGGCAGAAGTCTGCACAGGAGTGGAGCCCTCTTGGAGAGTCTCTGCTAGAGCAGTGCGGAACGGAAATGTGGAGTGTGAGCCCACACACAGAGTCTCCACTGGGGCACCGCCTAGGGGAGCTGTGAGAAAAGGGCCACCATCCTCCAGACCTGAGAAAGGTGGATCTACTAACAGCTTGTACCATGCTCCTGGAAAAGCCACAAGTACCCAACACCAGCCCATGAAAGCAGCTACAGGAGCTGTACCTTGCAGAGCCACAGAAGCAGAGCTACCCAAGGCCTTGGGAGCCCACCCCTTGCATCTGCATGCCGTGGATGTGAGACATGGAGTCAAAGGGGATTATGAAGCTTCAAGGTTTAATGACTGCCTTGCTGGGTTTCGGACTTGCATGGGGCCTGTGCCCCCTTTGTTTTGGCCAATTTCTACCATTTGGAATGGAAATATTTACCCAATGCCTGTGCCCCCATTGTATCTTGGAAGTCACTAACTTGCTTTTGATTTTACAGGCTCATAGGTGGAAGGCACTTGCCTTGTCTCAGATGAAACTTTGGACTTGGACTTTTGGGTTAATGCTGGAATGAGTTAAGACTTTGGGGCACTGTTGGAAAGGCATGATTGGTTTCGAAATCTGAAAAGGACATGAGATTTCGGAGGGCCTAGGGGTGGAATTATATGATTTGGCTCTGTGTCCCCACCCAAATCTCATCTTGAATTATAATCCTATGTGTTGAAGGAGGGACCTGGTGGGACGTGATTAGATCATGGGGGCCATTTCCTCCAAGCTCTTCTCATGAAAATGAGGGAGTTCTCCTGAGATGATTTTAAAAGTGGCAGTTTCCCCTGTTACTCTCTTTCTTGCTGCATTGTGAAGAAGGTGCCTGCTTCCCCTTCACCTTCCACCATGATTGTAAGTTTCCTGAGGCCTCCCCAGCCATGCAAATCTGTGAGTCAGTTAAACCTCTTTTGTTTGTAAATTACGCAGTCTCATAGTATCTTTATAACCATATGAAAACAGACTAAAATTTAGTTGAAAATTATTCTGCTTTCTGCATATACCAATTTAAAAGTATTTAACATTTATTGACTATCAAGTAAATGTCTGACACTATTGAATTCACAATAAACATAAATGCCTATTTTTTCCAAGACTTAGCTGAAGCAGCATTTTCTCTAGGCCACCACCTTTGTAGCTATGAAGGATAGAATATGCTTATGTCTAGAGTTGCCTGAATGTCTAGCATGTATTCTTGACCAAAGGCAGTGGGATAACTAGTGATTTATAACCCTGAGGTTTCAAATTTCTCTGGTGGTACTGAGGGCAGTTTATTGATACCTTACACCTAGTGTAAACAATCTGACTCTGTCACATAACCAGAGAGTCATATAAGACTCTGCTGGAAACTGTTAGGGAGCTATCCCTTCTCCAGTGACCTTGGGAAAGATGGCAGACTAGAGGCCCACATCAATCACGTACTCTGCAAAGAAGCACCAAAACAGAAAATAGATAATCACATGTTGAATAAAGCATCCAACAGAGAACACTGGAATTCAGCAGGGAAGTCACAAGGAATCTCTGAGGCATAGAAGCAGAGGGAAGTGCAGTATCTAGGCTGGCTGGGATTGGCTGGGATTCAGGAGAAACTCCCCAGTGTGAGGAAAACATAAGTGAAAGATCCTCAACAGTCTACATTCCTGCAGCACATTTTGGCAAGCCAAGCCCTGGGACAGTCTCTTGACCCTAGCAGGCCCTCAAACTAGTAATGGAAGCTGCCTGAAGTCCATGCAATGGCATTGTTCCATAGAGGAAGTTTATAGTGGGTCCCACATACTGCCTTAGACCCAAGCAGCTGCAGCACCATGCCATTTTGAGAGCTTAGCGCTTGCCAGAACTACCTCCTGCCCTGGGGCCCAACAGACTCTGCATCTCCACCTCCCTGGAACCCCACTGACATTTCCCCCATGTCCACCCAGAAGGTTGTGGTGTCACGATACCAGCTAAACCTAGCAGTGTGGTCAGGTCCTTGGCAGTGTCCTACTACCTAGGAAAAGGGTGGTGCAGTGCATCAGGGAGGCTGCCACCAGGACAAAGAGAGCTGAAGTATATACTCTTCAGAGCCTGAGAGCTGCCTGACTAATGCCGCTGCCACTGACAACAATCTTGCTCCTCTCAGCAGCAGAGACATTAGGCACCTGCACATGCCTTCAGAGGGCCTAGGGACTGGCCTGCCTGGGCACCATCCTGAGCCCTGAGGACAGACCATTCCCAACCACTGCTGCCCTCACCTGAGTGTGCTATCCAAAAACCTTGGGATTGATCTGCCTCACCTAACAGAGCTGCTGCTTGCATGCACCACTGAGGGGCCTGAGGATAGGCCTACCCCATCCAGCACTGCCCCTGCCAGTACCCACGAATCTCATCTAAGGGCTTGCGGATTGGCCTTCCCTGCCTTCTGTCACTGATGTGTGCATGCACCATTAGACAACCTAACAATAGGCCTAGCCCACTTGCTGCTGGCTCTTAAGCATGCAGTCTGGGGGCCTGGGGATTACCTTGCACCACCCACCCCTGTTGCAATTCATGCATTCCTCTTAGGGGCCTGAGAACAGGCCCACTCAGCCTGCCAGTGCCTACACACATTGTCCAGGGGCCCAGGGATTGACTCACCCTGCCTACCACATCTGTGCAATCCTTCCAGGGGCCAGAGAACACCACTGCTGCTGATACACACCTGCACACACCACCTAGGGCCTGGTGACTGGTGTACCCAGCCCACTGACACCACTGCTGGTATCAGCATGTGCTGCCTGGGGCCCATGGGTTGACCTCTCACCATTATTGCAATCACCAATGCCACATGCACCACCCAAAGGCTCTAGGACCTACCCACCCCCTAGCAACTGCTGGCACCTGAGCGAGCCACCTGGAGGCCCAGTGATCAGCCTGCCTGGACCTGCTACCATCAGTGCCCATGTACGCTGCCTGGGGGCCCAAGGACTAGCATGCTTGATCCACTACCACCACTACTGGAGCCCCAGGGTTAGCCCACCTGACATCCTTTTCCCTAGCAAAGCCTCACCACAGCCACCACTAAAAAACACAGCCTAAGCCACCAAGGAACTCACAGACACCACTGATGCTGATTACAGATGACAAATCACATGGAGACTACACTACTGCGCACACTCAGAATTAAAGCCAAAACACCCTACCCAACCAATAGATACCCCATAAATACATCTATAGAAAAAAATTGTTACAAAAGCCAATCCCTAAAATTGGAAGGAGCAACAGCTATACTAGACATGCAGATATCAATGTAAGGACAAACAAAAAAAAACATAAAAAAGCAAGGAGACAACATGTTCAAAGAAACACAATAATTCTCCAACAACAGAATAATAAAAAATAAAATGTCCAAAAACGAATTCAAAATAAGATATTTAAAAAGCTCAGTGAGATAGAAGAGAGCACAGATAATGCAAAGAAGTCAGAATAACAATGAATAATCTGAATAAGAAAATTAACAGAGATAGATATAATAAAATGCAAAAACCCTGACACTAAAGAATTCAATTAATAGCAGTCGTGAATGGAAGTTTCCTCATGATTTGATGCTCTGTTTGTCTATTAATGGCATGTAGGAATGCTTGTGATTTTTGCACATTGATTTTGTGTCCTGAGACGTTGCTGAAGTTGCTTATCAGCTTAAGGAGTTTTTGGGCTGAGACGATGGAGTTTTCTAAATATACAATCATGTCATTTGCAAAAAGAGATAATTTGACTTCCTCTCTTCCAATTTGATTATCCTTTCTTTCTTTCTCTTGCCTGATTGCCCTGGCCAGAACTTCCAGTACTATCTTGAATAGGAGTGGTAAGAGAGGGCATCCTTGTCTTGTGCCGGTTTTCAAAGTGAATGCTTCCAGCTTTCGCCCATTCAGTATGATATTGGCTGTGGGTTTGTCATAAATAGCTCTCATTATTTTGATATATGTTTCATCAATACCTAGTTTATTGCGTGGTTTTAGCATGAAGTGATGTTGAATTTTATCAAGGCCTTTTCTGCATCTATTGAGATAATCATTTGGTTTTTGTTATTGATTCTCTTTATATGATAGATTATGTTTATTGACTTGCATATGTTGAATCAGCCTTGCATGCCAGGTATGAAGCCAACTTGATCATGGTGAACAAGCTTTTTAATATGCTGCTGGATTCGGTTTGCCAGTATTTTATTGAGGATTTTCACATCGATGTTCATCAGGGATATTGGCCTGAAATTTTCTTTTTTCGTTGTGCCTCTGCCAAGTTTTGCTATCAGGATGATGCTGGCCTCCTAATATGAGTTAGTGGGGAGCCCCTGTTTTTCTATTGTTTGAAATCATTTCAGAAGGAATGGTACCAGCTCCTCTTTGTACCTCTGGTAGAATTCAGCTGTGAATCCGTCTGGTCCTGGGCTTTTTTTGGTTGGTAGGCTATTCATTACTGCATCAATTTCAGAACTTGTTATTGGTCTATTCAGGAATTCGACTTCTTCCTGCTTTAGACTTGGGAGGGTGTATGTGTCCAGGAATTTATCCATTTCTTCTAGATTTTCTAGTTTATATGTGTAGAGTTGTTTATGGTATTCCCAATACAAGCTACCAAGATATGGTAGTTTGTATTTCTGTGGGATCAGTGGTGATCTCCCCTTTATCATTTTTTATTGTGTCTATTTGATTCTTCTCTCTTTTCTTCTTTATTAGTCTGGCTAGCTGTCTATACCTAGGAATACAACTTACAAGGGATGTGAAAGACCTCTTCAAGGAGAACTACCAACCACTGCTGAAGCAAATAAGAGAGGACACAAACAAATGGAAAAACATTTCATGCTCATGGAAAGGAAGAATCAATATTGTAAAAATGGCCATACTGCCCAAAGTAATTTATAGATTCAATATTATCCCCATCAAGCTACCCTTGACTTTCTTCACAGAATTAGAAAAAAAGTACTTTAAATTTCATATAGAACCAAAAAAGAGCCCATATAGCCAAGACAGTTCTAAGCAAAAAGAGCAAAGCTGGAAGCATCATACTACCTGACTTCAAACTATACTACAAAGCTACAGTAACCAAAACAGCATGGTACTGGTACCCAAACAGATATATAGACCAATGGAACATAACAGAGGCCTCAGAAATAACACCACACATCTACAACTATCTGATCTTTGACAAACCTGACAAAAACAAGCAATGGGGAAAGGATTCCCTGTTTAATAAATGGTGCTGGGAAAACTGGCTAGCCATATTCAGAAAACTGAAACTGGACCCCTTCCTTACACCTTATACAAAAATTAACTCAAGATGGATTAAAGACTTATATGTAAGACTTAAAACCATCAAAACCTTAGAAGAAAACCTAGGCAATACCATTCAGGACATAGGCATGGGCAAAGACTTCATGACTAAAACACCAAAAGCAATGGCAACAAAAGCCAAAATTGACAAATGGGATGTGATTAAACTAAAGAGCTTCTGCACAGCAAAAGAAACTATTATCAGAGTGAACAGGCAACCTACAGAATGGGAGAAAATTTTTGCAATCTATCCATCTGACAAAGGTCTAATATCAATCTACAAAGGACTTAACCAAATTTACAAGAAAAAAACAAACACTTCCATCAAAAAGTGGGCTAAGGATATGAACAGACACTTCTCAAAAGAAGACATTTATGCAGCCAACAAACATATGAAAAAAAGCTAATCATTGCTGGTCATTAGAGAAATTCAAATCAAAACCACAATGAGATACTATCTCACGCCACTTAGAATGGCGATCATTAAAAAGTCAGGAAACAACAGATGATGGAGAGGATGTGGAGAAATAGGAATGCTTTTACATTGGTGGTGGGAGTGTAAATTAGTTCAACCATTGTGAAAGACAGTGTGGTGATTCCTCAAGGATCTAGAACTAGAAATACCATTTGACCCAGCAATCCCATTACTGGGTATATACCCAAAGGATTATAAATCATTCTACTATAAAGACACATGCACATGTATGTTCATTGTGGCACTATTCATAATAGCAAAGACTGGGAACCAACCCAAATCCCCATCAATGATAGACTGGATAAAGAAAATGTGGCACATATACACAATGGAATACTATGCAGCCATAAAAAGGATGAGTTAATGTCCTTTGCAGGGACATAGATGAAGCTGAAAACCATCATTCTCAGCAAACTAACACAGGAACAGAAAACCAAACACCGCATGTTCTCACTCATAAGTGGGAGTTGAATAATGAGAACAGATGGACACATGGAGGGGAACATCACACACCAGGGCCTGTTGGGGGGTGGGTGGCTTGGGGAGGGATAGCATTAGGAGAATTACTTAATGTATATGACAGGTTGATGGGTGCAGCAAACCACCATGGCACATGTATACCTATGTAACAAACCTGCACATTCTTCCCTTGTACCCCAGAACTTAACGTATGATAATAAAAAAAGAGTCTTTATCAAAAACAAAAAAAAAAACCCACCATTTATTTTGCTCTTGAGTGTAGGGTGAGCTGGGAGGTTCTTGATATCTCAGCCAAGAGCATCTGATCTAGGCTGGACTTGATCATATATTTATAGTCAGCAGCAGCAGACAGGTTGGCTGGGGTTGGCTGATCTAGGATGGCCTCAAGTGGGATCACTTGATTCTCTCCCACATGGTCTCATCCTTCAACAGACTAGTTTGGACTTGTTTTCCTGATAGTTGCATGAACCAAGAGAGTAATTATAACCACACAACTGCCTTCTCAAGCTTCTGATTGCATAAAATATTTTACTATTCCTTTGGTGAAGCAAGTTACATGGCCAGGTCCAAAGTCATTGTAGAGGATACTATCAAAGGCCATGGATACAAGCACACATGAAAAATTGGGGCTAATATTGTAATCAGTCTTCTAAACTCTACCATATATTTATTGAGATCATGTGGTCCATCACACTACTCATGCACATAGTATACAAGCCACAAAAATCTATTGTCAATTATATGTAAATGGTTGAAAATCATTGCCTTTTATTGTTCTCATTATTCTCTGCTTAATGGTTCCTTGAAGGTGCCCTTTGAAAAACCAGATGTCAGTGATATGGTGTTGACAGAGACTGTGGTGACTTTCTGACAACCCATGCTTTTCCCTTTTCTTTCCCAATGTAGATTCTGTTTTCTGTTTCTATGTGGGCACAGACTGACACATCGCTTTCAATCTTTCAGAGAATAAATTTGACTGGGTAAAAATATTGTTAGCCTTTTACAGGAACTAATGAATTCAGCTGTCTTCTTAGCATCCCTCCTCTCTTCTTCCTTCACTTCCTTTCATGTGTTTATTTTAAATAAGAGTTCATACATTCTTCTGTGTGGGTATTCATTATGGGAACATGGATTATTAGGATAAAACTTGTTAGCACATTTACAATTGTAGTTTCTTCTATTTTAAAGTTTGTTGCATTGCAAGCAAAATCTTTGCAAAGTCAATTAGTATTAGACAAGATTGTTAATATAATACAATGCTATCTGAATATGTGAATACTTGTTAAATATTTGTTGCACATGAAGCTAACTGAAAATAAGGATAATAATATAAAGTTGTTTCCTTTCACGAATCAGAACTATGGAACTTCTCTAAACAGTCTAGTTGCAACTTGACTTTTACAACAGTTACTATTCTTCTCTCACATGTGTTTTTGATCTTTTTTGCCAAGTACTCTTTGGCAAGGTAACTTTATTTATGCCCTGAAATAATTATATCTACATTCAATTCATGAGTCCCTCAAAATTCATATACTTTATGAAGCATTTATTTATGGTGAGTAAAGTGAAATCATTCTGACTACATTGTGCCTTCAAATAAGCATTTTTATACTTAATACAGCTTGTGCTTGTTAAGAGAAAATATGGGTAAATATTCACTTGTTCTCTGAATGGGGAAAGGTTTACAAGAATAAAAGCAATATGAAAAATAATCATAAAAGAAAGGTTAGATAGATTTGTCTGCATAAAAATTCTAAATTTCTATACAATGTTAACAATAAAAATCCAACTTAAAATTACTGGCAAAATATATGGTGCGAAAAATATATATAACAAAGTATTAATGTCTTTTAATATATAAAGGTACTAATAAAGCTATGAGATAAAACTGTCTGGTAGAAAAAATGGACTATGGTCATTAAAAAATCACAAAATAAAAAAATGACAAATCATCAATACATTTATGTGTGAAATGATAAACCGCATTAAAAAAAAGAATGGTAAAATAATGAGATAGCCATTGTAACCATAAAATTAGGGAAGAATGACCAAACATAACATTCTGAGCAATCACTGGTGCTCTCGGAAGAGCATGTTCACACACTGCTCATGGGAGGATATATTTGTAACAATCCTTTTGTAAAACAATTTGGCCAATGTACTGATTATCTGAAATACATTCTTACCTTTGATTGATGCATTCTACTTCTAAGAATCCATCTTAAGGGAACATTTGGAAAGCCAGGCAAAGTTTGATAAGGTTTTAAGGTTTTTTTGATGTCTACTACTAATTATGCCTGAAGTAATATTTCCATCAGGCTGCAGAAGCTCACCCAAAACCTTGTCATTGGTCCCAGTTTAGATTGAGTAGTTCAGGTGACTGAAGGCTCCCAAATTCTTAATGTGTTCTATTTCAGGATACCTTCTGTGTATATAGTCCAAGTTTTCATTTTACCCACTCCATTCTATTTCCAAACAGGTCTACACTGCCAGCAGTGATTGATCAAGAATTTGTTTAAGTTTGTCAATTCAGTATTCTGCAGAAAAGGGTACCAATGTGTTAGTCTCCAGAGCATTAGCAACTGAACGACAAACAATTCAGGTGTGGCAAAAAGGCTTGCTGGGATAGTAGCTTCTGCTTCTCCTTGGGGAACTCATTAAAAGCTGGAAGATGGCTGAGTCTTTTAGAGTCTGGATACACTAGCATGTCAACAACACTGAAATTTGTTTTTCAAGTGCTCAGTCATCTAGGAAATGCCTTTATGTGGAAATCTACTAGGTTGTCTCACCTTTTTCATTGGTGTGTCATGATATTAACTCTAATTCTTCCAACCAAACTTATGGTAGATCTAGTTAGAGGCTGGATATTCTATCCCACATTTCAGCATTGAGGTCAAGAAAATCAGCGGGAGTCTGATTTGAAGGAAAACAGATGTTTGATAAGTATGATAGTATAACAACAACAACAATAACAACAAAAACTTACTTTTTTTCTTGTATTATTATTTTTTCTTTATTTCTCCTAAAAAAAAAGGGATATAAGTGCAGAAAGTGCAGGTTTGTTACATAGGTATATGTGTGCCATGGTGGTTTGCTGCACCTATTGACCCATCTTCTAAGCTCCCTTCCCTCACTCTCCACCCCCCAACAGGCCCTGGTATGTGTTACTCCCCTCTCTGTGTCCATGTATTCTCAATGTTCAACTCCCACTTATGAGTAAGAACATGCGGTGTTTGGTTTTCTGTTCCTGTGTTAGTTTGCTGAGGATGATGGCTTCCAGCTTCATCCATGTCCCTGCAAAGGACATGATCTCATTCCTTTTTATGGCTGCATAGTATTCCATGGTGTATATGTGCCAGATTTTCTTTATCCAGTCTATCATTGATGGGGATTTGGGTTGGTTCCATGTCCTTGCTATTGTGAATAGTGCTGCAATAAAAATACATGTGCATGTGTCTTTATAGTAGAATGATTTATCATCCTTAGAGTATATACTCAGTAATGGGATTGCTAGGTCAAATGGTATTTCTGGTTCTAGATCCTTGAGGAATCACCATACTGTCTTCCACAGTGGTTGAAATAATTACATTTCCACCAACAGTATAAAAGTGTTTCTATTTCTCCACATCCTCGCCAGCATCTATCGTTTCCTGACTTTTTAATAATCGCCATTCTGACTGGCATGAGATGGTACCTCATTGTGGTTTTGATTTGCATTTCTCTGACTATCAGTGATGTTGAGCTTTTTCAAATATTTGTTGGCTGCATAACTGTCTTCTTTTGAGAAGTGTCTGTTCATATCCTTAGCCCACTTTTTGATGGGATTGTTTGTTTTCTTCTTGTAAATATGTTTAAGTTCCTTGTAAATTTTGCATATTAGACCTTTGTCAGATGGGTGGATGGAAAAAACTTTCTCCCATTCTGTAGGCTGCCTGTTCAGTCTGATGATAGTTTCTTTTGCTGTGCGGAAGCTCTTTAGTTTACTTAGATCCCATTTGTCAATTTTGGCTTTTGTTGCAATTGCTTTTGGAGTTTTCATCATGAAGTCTTTCTCCATGCCAATGTCCTGAATGGTATTGCCCAGGTTTTCTTCTAGGGTTTTTATGGTCTTAGGTTTACATTTAAGTCTTTAATCCATCTTGAGTTAATTTTTGTATAATTTGTAAGGAAAGGGGATCCAGTTTCAGTTTTCTACATACAGCTAGCCAGTTTTCACAGCACCATTTGCTGAATAGGAGATCCTTTCCCCATTGCTTGTTTTGGTCAGGTTTGTCAAAGATCAGATGGTTGTAGATGTGTGGTGTTATTTCTGAGGCTTCTGTTCTGCTCCATTGGTCTATATGTCTGTTTTGGTACCAGTACCATGCTGTTTTGGTTACTGTAGCCTTGTAGTATACTTTGAAGTCAGGTAATGTGATGCCTCCAACTTTGTTCTTTTTGCAAAAGCTTACTTTTATTGAGTGCTTATTATGAGGCAGATAATGTGCTAAACTCTTTACCTAGATTATCTCATTCAACTCTCCTAGCCATCCTTAAATAGAGGAGTTATAATGATTCTTATTTCACAAATGATGCAATCTGAACTCTGATGACTTGACTCCTGAACTTCTGCTCTTAGCCATGAGATTAATGTGAAATGAGTTTGAGAATGTGGAGCCTGTGGTTGCCAATCCAAGTTCAACAGCTTCAAAGCCCAGTTTCCAAATTTTCTGGAAGTACTACATTCAGGTTCACAGACCCAAAAAAAGCTGGCCATTCTCACCGGCACAGAGAATTATGTCTAAAATACTCAAATGTGTTGGCTGGACCTGCTGGTACTTCCTCCACATGCCATAGCCAACTGATGACTCGTGTGTCTAACCTGAATATATCTTACCCAGCAAACAGTGGAAGGCCCAAACAGGCAGAATTTGTCTAATACAAGTAAATCTAAGCATTTTTTTCTTTTGATTTATCAAAGATGGTCCTAACATTCCTTGTGTATCTTTAAAATTATATGAATGTATGAAAAATCCTGCATTGAATGAGGTCAAGTTCTTTGCCCTTGGGGGCTTGAAATTTCATGTATCAAAAGCTCAGAGATTCTTTTGAGAGCAGTTATAGCCACAATTCATCACACACTTGGTATTTGCCCAACAGGCACATTAATAAGTGCTTTACATATTTTTCCATTTAATCCTAACAACAACCCTACTAAATAGACATGATTATCCCAGGTTTTACACATGAGAGACCTAAGACTCAGAGAATTTAAGAAAGTTGCCCAAGATTCCAAAGCAAGTAAATTGGAACTAGGCTGTCTGATTTAAAGGCCTCTGTTTCGAACCGCTGCACTTATTCAAGACTGCTCAAACTTTAATGCATGTAAGAATCACCTGGGAGTCTTGCTAAACTACAGATTCTGCTTTATTGGGTCTGGAATGGGGCTTGACATTTTACACTTCTAACAAGCTCCTGTCTGTGGCTTATGCTTCTGGTCTATGAACAATTGTTTGAATAGCAAGGTTTTATACCTTCCCCATAAAGGGAAAAACCAGACTTCAAGTTAAAGATTGCAGAAGGAAACTTTTCTTAATTGTCCTAATGAGTAAAAATAAATATTAATATAAAAATAGCAATAGCTAAATTACTAGTCAAACACTGTTCTAAACACTTTACATGTTATATTTCATTTTGCCCACACAACAACCCTTAGAAGTAGATAATACACATGGGGAAAATAGGGCACAGAGTAGTCAATACATAGGTCTTGTTCCTCAACATCTTCTTATTCTTCCCCATTTCACATAGTTTTTCAATGCCTAAAATTGCATAATTAGAGAGATTCATTACCTTGTTTCCATTTAAAAAGCCAACTCCTGTGGGAGGTAATATATTGCTTTATCATTTGTTTATACCTTAGTTTCATTTTTTTTTTTTAACAAAGGAACTGGGAGGAAACAGAGTACAAAACACATAAGGACATTGGGTTCCCGAAGAAAGGAAAAAGAAATAGAAAAGAGAGACTAAGTCTCCAAGGAAGCTTGGCACAAGCTGCTTCACAAATTACTGTATGAGCCCCAGTGGTTTCTCCCACACATATTCCAAAGCTGAAGCCAGTGGTAAGATAAGATAAATAAAATTCAAGATAAGAAATCAAATTAAGTTGTCGATTTATTACCTATGTAGGGATCACCATGGAGACAACCAAAGAACTCTCACCATAGAGACCTCTGCCCAACCCTGTCTACCTGAAATTATCAGCATATCATAAAAAAAAGATACAGAAATAATTTTGGGAAGGAAGACCACAAAGCAAACAGGCTTGAGCCCCAGGACTGGTGATGGGATGATGTAATAATTCAGAGAGAATTTCTAAGGTTGATCTTTCAAAGTTATGTTTCTGGACGCCACATAGTTTCTCCAGGTATGAGAGAAATTTGCAGATCTTACCTCATGTCAGCATGATTGGAGAAGAGTCAACTTGGTAACCGCATCACCAACTCTAACCCTCTTGTAAAAGGAGACAACTCAAATGGTGATTCTTACTGCTGGAGAATCACCATGGCAATGTGACTCCCAGCCCACTCCTCTGCACCATGAACACTATGATGAAACCAAAAAGTATTAGGTAGCAGTAACCTTGGCAACACGGATTTTTGTTAAGCAGCTCTGACCCAACACAAGTGTCCTTTCAAAGAGTAGACTCCACAAAATACAGCAATTTGTCCTCGGTGGATACTTTAAACATTTTTTCTATTTTGTATAAAAAGAATATGGAAATAATATTATCATAGATTGAGCTCCTCAGGAAGAAGACTTTGACATGAAGTTTAACATGCAAAATAGTTATTAGGGAGTGCCCTTAGGGTATTAGGGGAAGGAAGCAGAGCTTGGAGACAGGGAGAAGTTGAAGTACAAGGCAGGCCAAACGATACCCGTGGCTGACTCTAGAGAGAGCTCTAAAACTAGAATGGCCCTTCAGAGTTGTTCCAAGTTGGGTCAAGATGGCCAGGTCATTTTACCCTTGCAATGACTGGTCATTGGGTGTGGATCATTGGGTAAGGGATGTGACACTGGGTCAGATGGCTTTTTGTGTCTGAGGCAAGTGGGAAGGGGCTGAGAGCTGAAGGCCGCCTGCTAACAGTACTGCCAACAGCTAAGACAACAAGCCCTTTACTGAAGCAGAATCAGGGTGGCATATCACTGCATCCACCACAAATAGTAATGGCTTCAAAGTACCAGGAGTTCCAAAGTTAGATAAGTAAGATTCAATTTTTATTTTTAAATTAGGAAAACATTTTTCTATTTGATTAACTACTTCTTTTTTTGTATGTTTGTTTGTTTCGAGACGGAGTTTCGCTCTTGTCGCCCAGGCTGGAGTGCAATGGTGTGATCTCGGCTCACTGCAACCTCCGCCTCCCGGATTCAAGTGATTCTCCCGCCTCAGCCTCCCAAGTAGCTGGGATTACAGGTGCATGCCACCACGCACAGCTAATTTTTTGTATTTTTAGTAGAGATGGGGTTTCACCATGTTGGCCAGGCTGGTCTTGAACTCCTGACCTCAGGTGATCCACCTGCCTCGGCCTTCCAAAGTGTTGGGATTACAGGCATGAGCCACCGCGCCTGGCTTGATTAACTACTTCTTGAGGCAAATAAATTTAAGAGATTCTGCTCAGTATAAGAAATCATTTCACTGGTCTTTGTATTCAGAAAATTAATAAAAAGAAATGCATTTTTATCCCCTACTCTGAATAAAAACCAAATAGATTACTCATTCCAGTTTTACAGTGTACACGTGTGTTTAAGTGTCAATGTGTATTTTTTCCATTTTCTTAGTGAGTCAGGAAAGCGTGCAAAGAGGTTTAAATAATGAATTACCATATATGTAATATACTCATTTATTCATTTAGCAAATATTTATTAAGTATCAATTATGTCATGGCACTGTAGTAGCCATTGGGTCTATAAAAATAAGTAGTAATGTTCCCCTTCCTGTGTCCATGTGATCTCATTGTTCAATTCCCACCTATGAGTGAGAATATGCGGTGTTTGGTTTTTTGGGGGGAGGGGGGAGGGATAGCATTGGGAGATATACCTAATGCTAGATGACGAGTTAGTGGGTGCAGCGCACCAGCGTGGCACATGTATACATATGTAACTAACCTGCACAATGTGCACATGTACCCTAAAACTTAAAGTATAATGATAAAAGAAAAAAAAAAAGAAAAAGAAAAACAAACAAAAAAAATTAAGTTGTAACAAAGAATCTGATCAAATAATTATGCTAAAGCAAACTCTGAAAGAATAAAAGAATAGTAGGAGGAATAGTAGTGGGTAGAAAAAATAGGTGGAAAGAAGCATTTACGTTTCACAATTTTCCTTTTATAGCTGTCATTTGATAAAGAAGAGATGTGCATGAGCAGCCCTCAACAGTATAAGGGTAAATGAGAAAAACAACCATCGACTTCATTTACTATCAACCTTGTATTATATCCCTTCTATAGTTTTGGTTACTTTTTTGTTAGGTGGCTGTCCTTCTGTCTGGGGTTAATGGACTTCAGTAGGTTCTTTCATTGTCTGTGTAATGCATATTCATAATTAAGAAGCTTGAATTTGCCTATAAAATGATCAGTGGTTATCAATGCACTGGATGGTATCTGTGAAAATGGGCATCTAAAGACACCAATAGCAGACTGGAGAAGAGTACATCACTTCTTTCAGTGTGGATGTAGCAATTTGAAAAGACTAAGTACTCTCATCTTTAACAATCTGAGAACTTTGCTGAAAGAGATTCTAAAATTGGGAGACGGGGCCAGACAGGTTCTTGGATTAAAATGATTAAGAGTACCATTGTCTGTTTATGTTTACATCCTTGAGCAAGCAACTCAATTCAATAAAAAGCAAAACATCTTGAGTGGAGGATATTTTTTGGTATCCTGGGGAATAGATTTCATCCAGAGGTTGCACCAAGAAAAAGCGAATAGCTCTTTACAAAACAACCTCTAATAATATTTTATTTAATCTACTTCTGAAAGCCATCCAAGAGAGACTGGTTTTCTTTCCTTAATTGAATCTCATGTACCTTTGACCCATTCTTACCAGGATATCTTTCTACTTTGTGTTTACCTCAATTTTATTTTTATTAACTCTTAAAAGTTGTTTTAAAGTCAATCTCCTCACTTTTGTGAAGAGTTCTGAAAAACTGTTTCAACTCTTTCTCACCGCAAGATCTGCTGAGACACAGGTGGAATCGATGGATGGGCAATGAGAAGATGAAAGTTGACTACAAATTTAGAGCTTTGGACCAACAACATCAGCATCACCTGAGAATGTGTTAGCAATGCAGACACTCAGGCCTCACCCAAGAACTCCTGAGTCATAATCTGCATTTTAGCAAGATTCTAGGGTGAATTATATGCACACTAAAGTCTGGAAGGCACTGAACTACAACATTTGTGAAAAAGTCTCTCCTCTCTAGCTAACATCACGGAACCGTTAGATACTTAATTTTCTTCCCTGAGTCTTTGTTCTTGGGCTAAGAACACTGCATTCAGTTTGCAATGCAAAAGACAATTATCGAACAAAGGATGAAAGAATAAATGAGACAAAAATCAAATAGCAAGATGGTAGGCTTAAATCCAAACATATCAATAATTACATTAAATGTAAAGGGACCAAACACTCCAACTAAAAGGCAGAAATTGTCAGACTGGATAAAAAAGCGAGATCCAAATGTAAGCCATTTATAAAAGATGTCCTTTCCAGCCTGGGTGACAAAGTGAGACCCCGTCTCTATAAAAAATAAACAAAATTAGCCAGGCATGGTAATGTGTGCCTGTAGCCTCAGTTACTCAGGAGGCTGAGGTGGGAGGATAGTGTGAGCCAAGGAGGCAGAGGTTGCAGTCAGCCAAGATCACACCACCATACTCCATCCTGGGCAACAGAGTGAGACCCTGTCTCAAAAAAAAAAAAAAAAAAAAGAAACAAAAAACATAAAGTACCAAAAAGGTGACATTATTTCTTAAATTCTTTTTCCGGAAAATTTCAGGCAGGTCCTTTTTAACAACTATAGCAGTGGTAAACGGAACATATTTTTAAAGTTATGGATGCAAAATGAGAAATTAAACATTTTCCCCTGAAAAAAAGATGTCCTTTACATATAATGACACAGATAGATTGAAAGTGAAAACATGGAAAAAGATATAGTATATAAACATTAAGCATAAGAAGTCTGGTGTGGCTACATTGTCTGGTTTGCTACATTAATGGCAAAGTAGACTTTAAGATAAGATGTAATACCAGAGATAGAGGGTAATTTCATAATAATAAAAGGGTCACTCTACCAAAAAGGGTATAATGATCCAAAAATATATATATACCTAATAGCAGAGTTTCAAAAATATATGAAGCAAAACTGATAGAATTCAAGGGAAACAAACAAATCCAGAGATGTTTTAACCTCTCTAAGTAATTGATAGAATAAGTACACAATACATATAATGTACAAAGATTATTAATTATAAGAATTGAAGAAATATTATTTTACTTTATCAGGAAATTCAAAGAGAAAACACCATTCAAAATCTGGTTAATCGATCAACACTAATTTAAGTCAAATATTAATATAGTTTTTACTGTGTGCCATATGCTATGTTGTCATTAGTGCAAAACAGTGTAGGGCATACTTTGTAAATAATTTTCAGACAAGGCTAGGAAGTTTTGTCTTCAATTATTTTGTTTTTAATTGAGAATTTGCACATCTAACATAAGAATCCTCTAATTCCCTGATTTGAAGACATTGTTCTAAGTGGGTTAGGTTGTCAAACCTCTCATAGAGGTTGAAGAGGCCATCTGAAACAGAGTCAAACTTTTGGAAAAGCTGAAATGGAACTTTTCATTCATTTCTTTTTCGAAGAGTCTAATTGGAGAAAAATATCTAAGAAATATATTACTGATGCAAAAATCTTCAAAACCAAACCAGTAGAAAACATTTTGAAAATGGTTTTAAAATGAGTCTGATAAAATGTACAAAACTCAAACAGTTTCTTCATGAAAAGAATGCAGCTGGAGGCAGCATTTACAGCTGGCAGGCAAGAAGTTTAGCTAGTCAGGGCAAACTTACCCAATTTCACATCAATGATTATTATATTATGGCATTTCAAAAACATTAAATGTTTCTCTTTGTAACTTTGCTATCTCTTCAGATATGAGAGAATATTTAGTATATCTACCACAATATGAAATAATGCTCCTGAAATGTAATCTACAACTTAGTCATCTTCAGCTGGACAAAGAAATCCTGCTGAAGCATTTGAGTCTCCTGTCTCTACCCTGAGCTCAGGCAGGTGGCAGGTCAACAGCAGCAGTGACAACTGGCTACTGAAGGGGCCATAAGTCCAAACTTATGATCATATTCTTTGCCATGGAGGGCCAGAGGCCTATTGTGCTTTTTCAACACAATCAAAGACAGCCAGTTTTCTGGGTGCTGCACTCGGATGGAATGAAGAACTCTTAAATGAACCATCAGTAACAGCAAAAATCCTGATTACATATAGAAAGAAAATAAGCAATGCAAGTAAAGACTAATTGGAACATAAGGCTCCAAAACAGAGTACTCTATTCTAAGGTATCATGCTTTCTAATTCGTGAATCAATTCTTTGTCACTCTGCTCCCTAGTTAATTGGACAGAATTGTTGTTTTTATCTTATAAAAGAGAGAAAGGCTAAATGACTTTCCCACGTTTGCACTGCTTATTAACAGAAAAGCAAGTTGAATTTTAGCTTTTTGATTGCCCATGCAGCTGGCTGTATGCTTTTAATGTGCATAAATTACACATTTGAAGCAACTCACTCAACAACTATTTACTGGAGCATTTAATGATCTCTTTATAATGCTTACTAATTGTTTCAAAATGTGTTGTTTCACAGCCCTCTCCCCAACTAGATGGCAAGCACCATGTGGACAGGGCTGGTCATATTTTACATGCTCTACAAATGCTGATTGATTAACAAGGAAAGATGAAATATTTGGAAAAGAAGAAAACAAAAGGAGTGGAACATAATGGAACTAAGAAAAAAGATACAGCTCCCAGAAGCTACCTCCTAGTCATTTAAATTTAAGGCATAATATGGAATATTATATTTGGAAGGGTCCCCAGAGTTAATCATCCCTAACCTTTTACCTATTGAGGAATAGTTTCTATATAACCCTTCATTGGTAATCTTGTAGTTTTATTAAAATACTCTACACTGAGGTGGAGTTTATTATATCCAATTGTGTGCACTGTTACACTGATCTATTCCTTTAAAAGGTTTTCTTTAACAGCTCACAATTATTTTCATTGAGCAACTGTGTCTCAGATGGCATGCTAGATACCAGGGATACCAAGAAGAACAGGTCAAGTTCCCCCTCATATAAAGCCCAAATAGATGTTACTGTTTGGCAAGCAGCTCTCTTCCAAGTGTTGCTTCATGTTGCTACCATCTTGTGGCTTTCCTATGGAAACTTACAGCTTCCAAGTTTACCATGCTTATCTGGCACAAGCCAAAAGTGTTGGGAAGGGCAAGAAAGATGTGTGTGGGAGTTGTTAGGAGTCAGGCCCGAAAGTGATGCACATCACTTTTGCTCATATTCCTTGGCTGTCAATCACAGATCCACACTAAACATCAAAGGAGGATGGGAATAAGAAGAGAATGAAAGTTTGGTAATTGTGTAGCAGTTTCTGCCAGAGTGCTTTCATTATTTAGAGCCAGGATTTAAATATTAATAATATTATAGTTAATTACAATATTAATGGCCAACTAGAAAAATTAACATTTAAAGTTACTTTTACTTCAAATGCAGCAATGTTATTTACAATACTTTAGTTTTTAAATAATGGCAGTTCCATTACAGCATTGCCTTGTTTTAAGTGTTATTTATATAATTGTCTGTTTTCTCACACTAATTTTTAAGCATCTAGAAAGCTCTTATATCTCCCACAGCCCCGAGTAATTTGCTTCCCCAGTAGCAGGTATTCAAAAACTATTGGTTTAATTGAATGCGAAAAAATGTGCAATAATGTTTCTCATTAAACTGAAGATATATGAAGAGCAACTTTAGATGGCAAAACTTTTCAATTATATATTTTATGACTATTAAAAACTTCACAGAAAGAAAGAATTAATATCTTCATTGTAAATAGATAGCAAGACTTAAAAACTGCTATTTATAGATGTGAAACTTTACAATGAGACATTTAAAAATATTAGTTACTTAAAAATCCACACAGCATTCTATTTTTCTTCCAGAAATAATTTTCTCAATTAGCTAATAAATAACACATAAACTGAAATGTATTAAAATACAACTTTCATTATTGTATTTCAAAGGTTCTAACGGAATTTTAGAATATATCTGTGATAAGAACTCATAATTGATTAAGGGTTACCTTCTTTTCTCAGAGAACCATTAATGGCAAAGAACCCTGGCATGGCAGTCAAAAATACCTGTGTTCAAACTCTAGCTCTATCACTCATTAACTATAAAATCTTGAGTGAGTATTCCAATTTTTCAATGGTAAAATGGAGAAAACAATACTTATGCTTCAGGGGACTGATTTCAGGATAAATTATAAATATGCAAAGAATTTTAAAATGTGCATGATTAGCTTTTAATAAAATTGCAATTTGTATTCCTGAAAAAAAAGAATTTATCTGTAATATTGTGAAATACGGTTCTGTTTCCTGGTACACATCTCTTAAAATTCTTGGAATCTCCAAAGTGATAAGTGTCTTTTTCTTTGCTAATCAGTTGACCCATGGCTGGCAGTCCCTAGCTAGCTCCAGGATGAGGGGGCTGCTCACAGGAAAAACAAAGACATAATTGTAGGGCTGGGACTTTTAGCCCTACCCCAAAACCTCTTGGCTGGAGAGAGGGGATGGAGGTTAAGTTGATCACCCATGGCCACTGTTTTAATAAATTATGTTTAGTAATGTAGCCTCCAAAAGGACAGGATTTGGATGAGCTTCTGGGTTGCCAAACAAGTAGAGGTTCCTGAAGGATAATACACCTGGAGAGGGCAGGGAAGCTCCACACTTTTTCTCGCATACCTTGCCCTATGCACCTCTGCATCTGTATTCTTTGTAATATCCTTTATAATAAACCAGTAAATACAAGTAAAGTGTTTCACTGAGTTCTGTGAGCTACTCTAGCAAAGTTGAACCTGAGGAGGGGGTAGTGGGAACCCCAATATATAGCCAATCAGTCAGAAGTGTAGGTGACAATCTATTACTTGTGATTGTCATCAGAGGTGGGGGCAGTCTTGTGGGACTAAGTCCTTAATTTTTAGGATCTATCACTCTCTCCGGGTGGATAGTGTCAGAATCAAATTGAATTAGAGGATACTCAGCTGGTGTCCACTGCAAAACTGTTTGCTTGCTTGGTGTGTGAAGAAAAAAAAACCCACATCTGAGTCAAAAGTGCTCGGTACTATGAGAGTATAGTAGGAGAACCTGATTTTGTTCTTTCCTATATCCTGAGAATATCTAAAATAATTTTTGGTGCTTCAAGAAGTTATTGATTCTACATAAAAGTGTTTATCATGCAGGAGACTACCTTTGAAGAGTGATGTTTTCAGAATGTTGTTTACATGGCAGTGTCTCAGGTAAATTTTGCTGTTAGATGTGACTATTATTTTGTATATTTCACCAACTCCCTTCTTCTCTTACTCCCATAAATCAGGATATTGTGAAGATAAACAGAACACACTTTACCATGAATATGTATGACAGCAAATAATCTCATCTATTTTTTCCATATTTCTATCTTCATCTTGAAAATCAAATTGAAGCATTTATCAATATAGTGTGGATTTCACTGGTGCAACTAAGCATTTCTTTATAACTAAATCAAATATAATTTGCTGTTATTAAATGAAGACTGTGACTCATGTGCTATTGACCAAGTTCTAATGGTTAATTAAAAGCAGTATATTATAGACCCCACCCACCCACAGTCACTATTGTGGCTAAAGGAATTTTAACTAGCTGTGTGAGACCTTAGTCAAGCATACCTGTCAGTCAGTTCTTTTTTTTTTTCCAAGTCCCTCCTCCTAGGTTTTGCTTTGGACTTTCTATTAGCCAGAGGTAGTAATTGCAGCTTTTACTGACTTACTTGTGCTTTTACCACCTTCCTTTCTCTTGCTTCCACTTCTCTACCTACATTTTCCTCTGTAGACTCTGACATCGATCACAACAAGTCTGATAATAAAACCAAAGGCTTTCAGTTTCTGAATGATAACCCAAACATGCCAACCTGGCCCCTTGTGAACCTGCTGAAGTTTCCCTATTTGTTCGGCCTTTGTTTCCAGTGGGGTTGCTAGAAAGGACCATTTTGGATATTGACTTGGATTTCCAGTTAACATGCTATTCATTGAGCCCAATTCTGGTTTCAAGGTAACTTTCTAATCCTTTCAAAGCAGTTATCTTTTTTTTTTTTTTTTTTTTTTTTTTGAGAAACAGGGTCATCAGGGTCATGCTCTGTTGCCCAGGCTACAGTGCAGTAGCATGATCATGGCTCGCTGCAGCCTCAATTCTAGGCTCAAGCAGGAGCGTAGCTAATCTTTTAAAAAATTTTTTGTAGTGATAGGGTCTCACTATGTTGCCCAGGCTGGTCTCAAATTCCTGGCCTCAAGCAATTTTCCCACCTCAGCCTCCCAAAGTGCTAGGATTACAGGTGTGAGCCACCATGCCTTGCCCAAAGCACTTAATGTTACACATGGCTCGGAACAACGCACTTGGAATGATCTGGAGAGAAGTGGAATAGGAATGAGGAGAGAAGACCTCATCCTTCAGCTTATATTTCTGACTGTTCAGAAATACCTAAGCTGAGATGGATACATTTGTGGGTGAATAATAAAATTAAAATATTAAAAATAGAATGAGGTCTGGTTTGAGCTTAAGGTGAGTGAGTGAATCATGTGCCTGATTAAATTAGCATTGCACAGAAGTGGGACCAGAAGGGGAGTAGAGTGTAACAGCTCTCTTCCCTCTGGGGTGACTTTTCCATCTGTACACAGCAGGCCTGCTACCAGATAATGAGTAGTGAGAGATCCCAAGATGACAGGTGGCAGAAGAATACAGAAGAATCCTATTAGCCAGCTTCTACAATATATATTCTGGGAGCTGCTACTTGAGCTTTTTTTTCCTGAAAGAGTACCTGTTAGCAGAAATTAAATATAGAAATAATCGTCTTTACCTCATGACCCTCTTGTAGGGCGAGGGGTATATTAAAGATACTCATGACAAAGTGTAAAGAAGCAAGGATAAAGTTTTTACTTTTTGGTAGCCAGGTTATTTATCATATCTACAAGGGCCTTTGGGAATTCTCCTATCTCCTATTTACAGCCCATGAACTTGAGGGTGGCACTGGAATAGATAACATACATGGCTAAGATTAAGCCAGTTAGCATATTGCATTTACCAGCACACAGTGGTAAGTGATGGTCCCATGCTCCTATGAATATTTTTAATAGAGATGGGGTTTCACCATATTGGCCAGGCTGGTCTCAAACTCCTGACCTCAAGTGATCCACCCACCTTGGCCTCCCAAAGTGCTGGGATTACAGGCATGAGCCACCACACCCAGCCAATCCGATGGTTTTATAAGCGTCTGGCATTTCCCCTGCTTGCACTCATTCTCTCTCCCTGTGAAGAGGTGCCTTCTGCCATGATTGTAAGTTTCCTGTGGCCTCCCCAACCATGTACAACTATGAGTCAATTAAACCTCTTTTCTTTATAAATTACCCAGTCTCAGGTATTTCTTTATAGCAGTGTGAGAACGGACTAATAAAATGACCCAAGGTCACCCCCAAACTCTCAATTTCTGGTGTGTACATTATGCATTGTTTAAGCAATTTATGACATATGTATTCTCATAGTAAGAAAAAGAAGCAGCACACTGACATTTATATGATATAGAATAATATGAAAAATCAGAATGTGGAACCTCATAAGGAATTGCTTAAAAAAAAAAAGTAACTGGGAAACTCCAAGTATGAGGTTTTGGAATGTAACAATTTAATTGAGAGAAATGATTTGCTTAAACAATTTTGAGCCAGTGACAGTAAAAAGATCAGTTGTTGCCAGGGGTTGAGGGTAGTAGGGGAGAGGGTTAAATAGGCAGAGCATAGGGAATTTTTAGGACAGTGAAAATAGTCTGTATGATACTATAGTGGTGGATACTCTCATTATACATTTGTCCAAACCCACAGACTGTACAACACCAAGAGTGAACCCTAATATACACTATGGACTTTGGGTGATTACAACATGTCAATGTAGGTTCATCAATCGTAACAAGTGTACCTTCTGTTGGGGGATTTTGATAACGGGGGGAGGCTGTGTGTGTGGAGGAGCAGAGGGTCTATGGGAAATCCTTATCGTTTCCTCTCAATTTTGCTGTGAACTAAAACTGCTCTAAAAATTGTCTTTAAAAAAAGGTAACTGGGAAATGAGGCTTTGGAATATAACAATTTTATTGAGAAAAAAGATTTGCTAAATAACTTGGAACTCCTCTAAAAGTTTCAGTCTTTATTCAGAATTTCTTGTGCTTAAGTCATTTCAACTTTTAGTCAAATATTATGCTCATGCGGTAATAGATATTCATGATATATGGATTTAAGATATAACCATTGGAGTCACAGTGATTTTAAAGAAATGAATATTTATTTGACAAATACTGTATTTCTGAAAATACTGTATAGACTAGCGGTTTTTAGTTATTATTTTGCTTGGTCCTATTACTAAAGGATTAACCCCCAGTGGATGCATATGTAAGAAACCAGGTGCTATACCTACAAATAAAGAAATGTTAATGTTGCCCTTTCCAAGAGAGACAACAGACAATCATCATAAGAAGGTGGATTTCAATGTGTAAATATTGCAAAACTCCAGCAATCCAATAACTACCCAAGATGTCATTTGAAGATGTCTTTTGAAGTAACTGAAATAAAAGGCCAGCCTTCAGTCTACAAAGCCCTTTTTTTCCCAACCTGGTGATTAAATGAGGGAGTTCCACCCTCTTTTTTGAGCAGTACTTCAACATTGATGAGATAATGAGTAGATCTGTTAAATAAACCAGAACATTGACATCATAATGAATCAATTATGTCCACAATACTTGAATGCATCATTTCTGCTACTCTGTTAGCTCAGTTTAGATCTGCAAAGACAGTGCAGGAAATGAGTTGCTATGAGCTAACAACACACAGAAGTTTTGCTACATGCCCTGGAATCAAATGATCTCATTGGAAATCTCAACTCTACTACTTTCTGGCTACATGGCCTTGGACAGCTTACTTATCTTCTTGAAATAGATTTACAGATTCCTGATCTATAAAATGGGTCTAATAAATAATAGCAATTACCACCTAAGTTTTTTAGATTATAATTGTCATTTGTAAAGTTTTTTTCTGTGTCATGTGTTGCACTAAGCATAAACACACACACGCACACACACATACATACACACATACACTCTTAAAACTGTATGAGATAGAAAATTTTAATCCCCATTTTATAGATGTAGAGACTGAGGCTCAGGTAAATAAAAGTTAAATATCTCACTCAGAATTACATGGCTTGGAGGAGGTGAAACTTGGATTTGAGTAAAATTCTGTCTGATTCCATAGCCAATGATTCTAACCCACAAAAATAAATAACTCCTGTATGTAATAAGAAAAACAAACAACTTTGAACGTGCACTTTGACTCAAATAACAATTAATCCATAGTGTGGGGAGTGCTTGCTAATTTTGCCTATTTCTTAGATGGTTCAGGAGTATATTAAAAAGAACTTCATACAAAAACTGTAAGCCACATACTGGCTTTGGGATGTAACTGAGATAGATCCTGTAGTTGTGAAACTGGAGGCAGAACAGGGAAGCTTGTGAAGTGTAAAGGCAAAGCAACGAGTCAACAGGATTGCATGATGTGGTTATGGCCACTCAGCAGACAACAGAACAAATCTCTGCTCACTGTGAAAAATTTCAGGTCAGAAAATACACCAAACTCCATTGTGACATTAGAATCCTCCTCAACCCAGAACTTCAGGCAACCACTGACACTGATTGAGATTGGCGTATAATATGAAACTGGAGTTTGTGAACCCACAGGGGACATGAAGCTCCATTCATATGGGAAACCTTAACTCTGGTACAAAGCTGCTGAGCTGGCTGTATTGGTTCTAGAATTTTAGAAGCGATGATATCTAGGTGGGTCCAAAGCTGGTGTTGAAGACTGGGAGTCAGACTAGAATTTAGGAGAGGAAAAAAACCTGTGATTTCTGGCAGCATGTTATACCTTTGAGCTAGATATTCTAGTTTCATATTACTTTATGTTTATCTAAACTTTGCTATCCTTGAAACTTAAGTGAAATCTGGTTTAAGGAATTTGTTTAATTATTCTATAATTGTTTTCAGGAAGAGAGCAAAGTATCCAGATTTATTCAGGAAGTTAAATTCCATAGACCACATGATTGTCTCAGTGAGAGTTACTAAATTCTCTGAAAGAAAAGTAGACCAAGAATAACATTGTTCAAACCTTTGAGATACAGTTGTTTCTTCCCATATGGAGATGTTCTGTGAATCAAACAGCACTTTTATTATGCTAGTCACCTCCTATTTACCAAACCAATAGGTTTTCAAATGTAATTTGAATCCTGCTTAGCATTTGACCCTGACAAATTCTTTCTCCTTCTTAAAATATTCTTCTAACTTGAATTCCTTCTCTCCTAGTTTTCTACCAAGTCTTTTTCAGACTCCTTCATAAGCTCCTCTTCTTCTGCCTGATGTTCCAATACTTGTTTTCTTTCAGGCTTCTCCATGCCCTGACCACCTTTGGCTTTATGTATACAGATTATACATTATATGTACCAAGTCTGGGTGATTCCATTGCTATGGTATTAATCACCTAAGTATCCAAAGGTTATATATTATCACGAGAAAGACACAAAACACTGAACCTTTACATAATGGACACAATGTGACCCTGTTGTTACTATACAGCAGAGGCAGAATGGCTGTTCCATCTAAAATTGGTTTGGAAATTTAGAATGATGACACCACACGTGTACCAAGTGGGTATGAAGAGATTTATTACTCATATAATGAAACTTTCTGAAGAGAGCAGGTTGGATTCCCAAACATGTCCAAAAATGGCTCCACAGAGCAGGAAAGAGTGACTGGCTTTGGAGTTTATTGTGGTTAAGTGGTGTGACTGTAGTGAAGATTCCCTTGCATGGACTGAGGCTTACATGGTTTGCATTTTCCCCTAACACCAAAGTAGGGGGCATCCAGGCTTTCTTTTCAACTTGCCCAGTTGTAGGAAAAGAGGGAGTGGTGTGGTTTTAAAGCTTTCAGCAGTCAAACATCAAAAGTGGAGTCAGACTCTTTATAATAGATTCTTGTCATAATTAAGTCATATTTAGTTTAGATTTGACTGCTACTTATACATAAATTCTCAAACTCAACATGTTCAAAACTGAGTTTTTATTCCAACTTAAGTTAATGACCTCTCAATTTACCTAGTTTTCTAAATTAGAAACATGGGAGATATCCTAGATGTTTCTCCCTTCTCTCCACTCTCCTGCTCTTTACTATTAGTTTTAAGGGCCTATCTTTGATGACCTTGCTGATTTATACCCTTCACTTCTTCTATGTGCCTATTACACTACTTCAATTCAGTCCCTTCAGTTTCTTAAATGGATTATTGCAATAGCCAGATTCTAAGGGCCACTGTGCTTCTAGTATCACCCTCCTTCATATTTAGTCCCTTTGCCCTGGACTCTAAATGAAAATATGACCATGTGACATGGTTTGGCTGTGTCCCTACCCAAATCTCATCTTGAATTGTAGCTCTCGTAATTCCCATGTGTCCTGGGAGGGACCTGGTGGGAGGTAATTGAATCATGGTGGTGGGTTTTTCCCCTGCTGTTCTCTTGATAGTGAATAAGTCTCATGACATCTGATGGCTTTGTAAAGGGAGTTCCCCTGCATACACTTTCTTGCCTGCCACCATGTAAGATGTGTCTTTGCTCCTCCTTCACCTTCTGCCATGATGTGAGGCCTCCCCAGCCATGTGAAACTGTGAATTTATTAAACCTCTTTTTCTTTATAAATTACCCAGTCTGGGGTATGTATGTCTTTATTAGCAGCATAAGAACACACTAATACATCATGCCACTTTTCTATTTAAAACTCTTGTTATTCTCAATCAGCCACAAGTTAATAAATAAATGTTTTAAAATGGCATACAAAAGCTTTTGTGTTTGGGCCTCTACCTGTTTCTTTGGCCTCATCTACCTACTCGTCTGTCCTGACCCCCATTCTTTTACATTTACTCTGAGTTTAAGCTATACCAGAACATTTTCAGTTCCTCAGATGATCTAAAACCACTTATTGTCTTTATTGCCTTTTCACATGTTGCTCATTTTGCCCAGAACACCCTTTATGCCCCTGTCTTCTAGGCAGCCCTATTTGTTTTACTGGTCTTAATGCAAATAATGACTCTTCTGTGAGATTTTTCTTGACTTTTCCAGGCCATGTTACAAGTGTAGCACCCTGTATATAATGACCATAGTCACCATTTATTCTATGACACTGTGCTAAGTTCCTGATATAACATTATTTTAGGCAATCTCTATGGTAACTTTAGGAACTAAACGTTGATATCATGTTTCAAAAATGAGGACATTAAGGTAAAGTGAGCTGCAATGACTTATCCAAGATCACATTGCCATCAAGTAGTGGATCTCAAATTTAAACCCAAACTATATCTCATCTAGACCAATAATCATCATCATGATGTTGCTTAAGTTTATAAGTTTAATGATCTATCTCCCACTGTAGTAATTTTTGTACTTCCTAGGTTTAACACACATAGATGCTTAACATACGCATGTTATATATTGACAAGACTAAAATCTGGGGAGGTGGGACTGAGCAAATGCCAAAGAACAATATTATGTCAGTACTATTTTCATATTAAAAAGTTAAATCAAATCATCATGTTTAAAATCTGGAAAAAAATTTAAAAAAGACAGAAAATTGATGGTAATTTACCCTTTCTTGTTCAAATATAAATGAGGGAAAATGGCTATTACTTCTTCAAAACCATCAAATGATTGAAATGAAAACAATGTAACAGTCATATGTCATAGCATCCACCTCCCTCCCCTACATTTTGAATGGTACATAAAGAGAAATGACTTTGGCTTCTTCCACCTGTTCCCTGCATCAAAAATAAGTACTAGAAAAAGGACTGTGAATGCATTTTATATAAGAACTGTTACACAAAGAGCAGACAGTAAGACTGAAATTGCAGCTCTCAAACTGAGGAGCTGAACAATAGCTAAAGATGGGAGAAATCCTAACATCTGGCAAGTCAGGGAAAGAAAGATGAGAAAATGAATTTCATTGTTTATCTAACTTCCAAAGATGAAGTCATAAAAACCATACAACCTAATTACATCTCTGTTTTCATTCAAGTAGTATATTTTTGCCACTCAAATCTACACACCTGGATTCCATTCTTCCCTATTGATCTTACTCATCCTTTATGATATAGTCCAAATGCAACCTCCTTTGTGAAACACCTCCTGGTACTCAAGTCAGCACTGATAACTGACCATTTTTTGCTCACTAAGAACCCTATTTATACATTTTTTCCTTTTATTTTAGGAGATAGGGGTCACACTATGTTGCCTAGTCTGGTCTTGAACTCTTCAGCTCAAGCCTTCCTCCCTCCTTGGCCTCCCAAAGTGCTGGGATTACAGGCGTGAGCCGCCACACCTAGCCCCTATTTGTATTTTAATTTAGCACTTTTTAGCTATTGGCAGGACCAAGTCTGAGCTTCCTGAGAGAAGAGAACAATTCTTTCTTATCGTCTATGTCCACGACAACCACCTAGCACAGGGATGAGCTAACACTAGGCATTCAGTGAAGGCTTCTTGATATAAATCTGATGATGTTAAGGAATTACTCAATTATAAATATCTTTTTTACCAAATGACTTGTTCCCCTAAGGACAAGTTTGAAAGAATCAGAAGTCTCAAACAGCCTCTTTTGAGTCCTGTTTGTACTTGATTTTTTTTTTAACTGAAATTTTAGCCTCTGAAATTTTGTTAGCAAAAATGACTTTTTCATAGAGAAAGCACAGATGTTACATATAACTTTGGTTGAGTCATGCTTTAATGTCCCTTCAGCTTTCCCAATAGCCAATCTTGATTCTTTATTGTATTTCCTAGAAAGCATCTGCAGCAGCTACTGCTGCTACAACCACTATTTATGTTGCCCAGGCTATATTTGCTGCAACTATCAGGGGTCTAGGCAAATCAGTCTCTGATGGAAGAGAGGGCTCTGGTAGACGAAGCAGCCAGGAAGTGGACCTAAAATCTTGTGTGGGAAATGGAAAAGGAGGGGTTTGGGCAGAGAAAAAGAATGACAAGCTGATGAGAGAGAAAGACAGAGACAGAGAAAGAGAGAGAAAAAACACAATTTGTTCTTTCCATCTTAAAAGTCTGTAAATTCTCATTTATTTATTAGCCTATCCATTTTAAGCCTAAACTTAGAGATTTTCCTAAGGCCATTTTGAAAAATGGAAGAAAACTAAAAATTATTAATATTATGGTGGCATATAAGCACAGATAGAATGGCTTAATCAGCACCAGTTTTCAGAGTTATGTGCTATGTTGTCACATACATTAGAATGTTTTGGGCTGCAAGTAACAGAAAACTGAACTTAAAATGACTTAAGCCACAGGGCATTTATTATTTCACATGATAAACTATCTGGAGGGAAGTTGGGTCCATGATTTATTATTTCAATTGTTCAATGGACCCAGATTCTTAAAGTTCTGTATGGTAGCTCCCATCAAGATTATAAAATGGTTGCAGTAGCTCCACCATCACCTTTTGGTACACCAGAGTTCAGAGGCAGGAAAGGTGTCTACATGTTTTTACTTTCCCTTTTTAAGAGGTAAGAAACATTTGTCAAATATATCTCTGTCCCACTTGACCACAAGATTTTCTTTCATATCTCACTGGCCAGTCACTGGCCAGAATGAGATGATGGCAAAATCACTATGTTTGGCTTTATCAACTCAAGAGTCATCCACTGAGGCTAGGGATGGAGCCAACCTTCTCTGAAGCACTGAAGCACCATGTGGAGGAGCCAGGTAGCCATGTACTCCTTGAAAGGATGAAGGGAACAAGTCTCCTACAGAGACAACCCAAACTGGATATTACATTTCCTTTCTTGTGTCAAAAGAAATTACCAGTGTATTCGAAGAGCTCACATAGACTTCATTGCCATTTAGGATAGCTCTTAACATGGGTGCCTTGATTGCTCATTGCCAGAGAGAAGATGAGAATGTTCCAGGATGATTGTGGGGGGAGAGGGGGATGATTGAGAGGGTAATTGGTCCTGGGAAGGGTAGGAGAAAGGAGTTCATAAAGAAATAAATGATCATCAGGAAAAGAAATGTAATGTGAAGCAGGGATAAACTGATGTATGAGGTAAGTAGGATCTTCATCATAATCACATAATAGAACAAGGGCTAGTTCTGAACTCAAAGGGAAGTGTTGAGCATACTTTCCAGTGCTAACCAGATAACTTTTTAATTAAAAAACTTTTTTAAATTTTAATAGCTCAGAAAAAAAGAAATATCCCATTCTGCACAGTAGCTTCCTATAAGGTTAGATATAAGAAAGAATTTCCAAACAGTGAAAGTTGATTATTTTAGAATCTCCATTGGATGTATTTCCAAGTAGCAAACCTTGTTGTTCAGCCTAGATTGGGTCCTATCTAGATTGTTCAGCCTAGATTGTTCAGCCTAGAATGGAAGGTAGGCCATCTGAATTTGAAGGTATTATCCAGGCATAGGTTTCCAGATTGATTGATTGTACTTAAGACTAGTCTTACACCATACTTAAAATCCCACTATTCTATACTGATTTCTTTTAACTTTCCTGAGGAGAGTTACAATAGAAGTGGTTTCCTCTGTTTATCCTTATCCCTTTTCCTCATCTCTACATGCAAAAATCCAGTGCTATTTTGAGAAAAAAAATATGTTGGAACATCATTTCAGAAGCTCTTTCTCAGAATTTTCCCAGGTGGAATGGCATTGTTTTTAACAAACATTACTCACCACTATATCCAAGGGAAAGGAAGAAGAGAGGCAAACATCAGTCGTAATATTTATTAGTTTCTGTAGAACTAAGGGCTAGCCCTATCATGCTGTTTCTTCCAATACTTCTTGCTTCAGGCAGGGAGGGGAAAGAGAATAAACAATTCTACTAACAAAACTATTTTATTGACTATTTCTTGTCATTTTTCTCCCACCAAAGATGCTATGTTGTAGACACTGTGAGGGGATAATTTTACTGTTTATACGGCAGTTAAGAGAGAACTGGGAACATCTTTACACTTAGAATACAGTGCAGAGTTTCTTTAAACAGCAGGATGCTATTGCTTTATGAGAATATATAGGTTTTTTTAAAGTAATGAAATAACTTACACATTTCTAACCTTCATTAGCAAATTTTAAATGTTATCATTTATTAAGATACAAAATAATTATAGGATTAAAAATAATTTATGTAATCCCTGTATCTGTGTACCCTCAAATTCTTCAAACTTTGGAGATTACCTTGAATTTAATACTTAAATAAAATTACTTGAGTTCATATCCCATATTGTGGGACACAGTATTTCCCAATATTTCTAAGAATTCTATAAGATGGACACATTTCTACATGTCATCAATTGATCTATTCAACACTGATTAATAGAAATATTTTAAATTACATGTGTGGTTTCATCATATGAAGACCACATATGTAATTTAAAATATTCTGATAACCATATTAAGTAAAATTAAATAAGTGAAATTAATTTTAATATTTTATCTTTTAAAACCCAATATGTCCAAAATATTATCATTTCAACATACAGCACCAACCACAATTCAAGTGCTCAATATCCACATGTGGTTAGTTGTCTGTTGGCCAGTGAAGCTCTATATCCTCACATGTCATTTCCAATAAAAGACCTCTTCCCTCTCTGCCAATCCTAACATGGAACATTGAACTGTCTCCTCATTTCCCAAAGCAACCATGAACTATAGCTTTTGTTTGTATCATGCTTTATGGTTTAGGGAGAATACAAGATGGTTATATTACACATTTTACCCAACCACTAAGACTTGACTACTGGCAATCCCAGGTCTTAATGTCCTTCTGCTATTTTTGTTATGGAGAATTTTTTTCTGTGCAATTTTTCCTAAGCCATAACCTCCCACCAAGCTTCTAAGTATATTAATGGTAAAGGATCATGGGCATGAGGTGAATGTGTTGCAGGACTTTTTTAAACAAACAGACAACAATTCTGCCCATCTCAATGTCACATCTCAGAGGAAGCCTTTTCTGACTCCAACAAATAAATATAAATCATTATGAAAACTTCAGTGAACTTTTCTTAAGACTATCAATGTATTTTGCCTTGTAATCACTACATATTTATTTGCTTAGACCCTACCTTGCTCCCCAGGGAATTTGAGGCCTGCCTTGTTTTTAAGGAATGACTTCCATTACTGAATCATGCGTCCATCCTATTTATGATAGCTCCTGACTGTCTCTGACTTGTGCCAACACAGGAACTCTGATCACTCACATCCAACTTCTATTTCTTGCTTTGGATGGTCACGCCACTCTTCACTGTTGGTTTCTTTAGCCAAACCACTGTCACCACCTGATCCAGATTAACCTATCTTGGTGCCTGCATGTGTAAACAATCTGCCTGTCTCATGTCTGCACATTCTCCATACCTCTGCCATTCCCTCCATCTTTCAGGGCACTTCGTAGGAGCCAAATTAGCTGAGTTTGAGCCAAGATTTGGTAATACTTAGCATCTTATTTATCTAAACTACAGCTGATATAGGCTTGAGAATAAACTCTGACTTATAAGACAAAAATCTCAAATCAACTGGAGATGAGACACTAGCTAATGAAAACCAAATTCTAAACTAAAGAAAATATTTTAGATGGTTGCAAAGCTTGGCTGTTCACAGCTCTGGATATTTAACTCTTCCCAGCGCCATATGCTACCCCACATGCTTGCCCCACTGCGCATGATGAGCCATTATAACTGTTGCTTTGGTGACAATTTTAATTGCAACACATTGAAGTATTTAAACAATAATCTATATCTGTAATTATGAAAAAATAAAGGAACAGATAAAAATGCAGGCATGGTAGGAGGCTTTAAAGTGTTTTTATGGGAGGGGTCTTTACTGTTCTTAAGGAGTTTGAAAATTCCCAAACCTCTTGACTTGCAAATACTATTATATGACCAAGATAATACAAATATGTTAAACATTTTGATAATCATTCAACATAAAATACAAAATTTTAAAGAGAATTCATCTCTTAATGATAAGAATGAGGCTTTTTTAAATTTTAATGTGTGTTTAAAGATGATTATTACTTATTGCTGGAATGACGGAAGGGCCAGCATCAATCGTCTTCCAGTTTTACATGTTATGTATGTATGCACCATACAGAGGTAGATAAGAAGAAAAAGAGTTTAATTACAGCAATGTCACTCGTTTTTTGAATATCTTCTGGATGCTATACCACAAACGTTACATGTGCTTTATCATCAAAAGCTACTTTTATTGATCTATCAATGAGCAACTTGATTAAGTTTTTTTTCAGTTTTGTCAAAAGCACAGAGTTAGAAACTGACTTGACAAGGGATTTGTTAGCTTCTCATTAGAATCATTCACTTTGGCAACAATAAAATCAATATTTTGAATTATCCTTTGCTTGGCAATAGGAAAGTTTCCACACCCAGTGCAATCAGTGCCCAATAATCAGGTTCAGGATGATTGAGAAGTAAGCTTTTCTTTTTGTAAAATGGAAAAAGTATGATTTAAAAGCAAAAGTCGGAAAAGAACAGTAGAATTATGGCAGGCACATTCTCCATTAGATTGATTTTAGGAAAGAATACATAGGAGAATTGAGGATTTGGAAATTGCTTTATTTAGTTACCCATGCCCACATTCCCTTTGGATATTTTTTGTGTACCTGAAGGGATCCATAAAGTCCCTAAGTCTAAAGCCCTCTGAAGTGCAACGCAGAAGACTCACTCTAACCTTGGAGATCCTTTGGCATTACTGAATAATATTCAACTGGTTAACTTGGAAATTTTCTTGTATTTTTGATTTAGAATTCTATGTATGTCATAATTGGTTATTTAATTTTTCCCCCAAGTATATATTAGCTCCTGTTTTCTTAAATAGATTATAAACTATTTGAAGATTGGGACTAGATATTATTTATTGCCTCATTCATCACAGTACCATTCACAAAACTAAAGTTCGGTTTGATTGGTTATTGGTGCCTGCTGACCCTGGTTTTGGCTTTGTTAAGCAAGTTTCTCCCTCCCCTATACCCTCCTTTCCTTCAAAGCACACTTCTGTAAGCTTGTTTATACCTAAAAGCAGTTTCTACAAAAGGAGAGGTTCAGGTCTCTATGATTGTAATTTGACTATCTACTTAGATCCTGTCTAACCCCAGTCTACAGGCTGATATGGCAGTCAAAGAGAAACTCAGGCAGCCTGAAGTGAATATGGCACTTTGTTTGGAGTATTTGTACTATTTATTATGACTTATAGATGGTCCACTGCTGCATTTTGGGGGTAGTTTATTAAACATGTACAAATTTTAAATTGTTATATATTATTGAAAAAGGAAAGCTTTTGCCCATATGTGGTGATGTAGTGATTTGAAATAACCTTCCCTTCTTATCTTACAGACCAGAGATCAGCAAACGTCTTCCATAAAGGACCAGATAGTAAATGTTTTCGGCTTTGGGGTCCCTACAATATTGTCAGAGCTACTCAACTCTCCCTTTGTAGCATGAAAGCAGCCATAGATAAGGTGTAAACAAATAGACACCGCTGGGTTGCAATAAAACTTTATTTGCAAAAAGAAGCAATGGCTAGATTAGGTTGTAGTTTGACAACCTCTGTTATCGACTGTTTGACTGATATTAATAGGACAAGCCCAGGTTTACTTTGGTTACTGTTTTTTATTTCTTTTATGTTCTTTTACTTGCAACCTTTCCATAATTTTCTGTTTCAGTTCCACCTCTTGCAAACAGCATACAGCTAGATTTTTTTTTCTCAGTTACTCTGAGAGTCTCTGTCTTTTTATTAGCTAACTAATATGTTTGTGTTAATGAGATTATTTATATATAGGGCTTACTACCACAATCTTACTTTTTATTTCTATTTATCCTACTGTAGTAGAGGAAAAATACTTTTTTTTCTGCGCATCCTAAGTTCATTGGTGGGGCCCCTTGAACAAAGGATAGATTAACAAGAGAAAAGTAAACAGAAGTTTATTAGCATGTATATTTTATATACACATGGGAGATACCCAGGAAATAAGTAATTCTCAAATAAGTAGCTTAGAACTCTGGTTTATTTAGCATCTTTAACAAAGAATAGTAAATTTTTAGAGCAATGACAAGACAAAGAAAAAGGAGTTTAATCTCTAGGAGTGACAGATTGTGGGAAGGCAAATATATTAGGTAAAGCCTAGTTAATAAGTTTGCCATGTAGATTCCTCTGGTGCCTTCTTCAGACTGATAAGCATCTAAAGTTGTCTTTGGTGATCAACCTTTGTCCTTCCTGGTAGAGAGAAAAGACACTTTTGCCTTTGTAAATTTTTGTCCTGATTTTAGGACAAATGAAAGGAGAACAGAGGGCTTTTCTTGCATCTGTTTCTTCTCAATTGCCTTTAGCTCAAAATTATCCTTCTGCCAAAGGAACATATTTTGTGATGGATATTCTGGTTGCCTACACTACTTGGAAAAAAAGTCTTTTTTAAAATTGTCTGACCTGTTTTTGAATAAAATATGATTGAGGGAATTCATACTTTTCTTTGTCTTCTGTCATTTTCAAACTCTATCTCTTATTCGTTTTGGGGTTACCCTTGAAATTTTACTATGCATATTTAATGTAAACTTTTATTTAAACACCAATGTGAATGATAATGGGAACTTTAGAAGTTTAATTTCAACAATCCCCCTTCCCACTTTAATTGCTATTACTGTCTAATATTTTAGTTCTGTGTTTTTTTTCAGCTCGTCAAATTATACATGGCTATGGTTATTTTATAAAATAATAATTATTTAAATTTGGTTCATATTCACCTTTTCCCCTCTTGTGATTACTCTGCATTTCAAACTTTCCGTAAAAATTATTTTTCTTCTTTCTGAGGTACGTCATTTAGAAGTGCATTTGGTGTAGGTCTGTTTTAGTAGACTCTTAATTTTTCTTTCTGTCAGTATATTTCAAAGGAGTACTATTGGCATTTTGAGTGAAATAAGCCATTGTCATTCAAGAATGTTTTCATATTGCAAGATATTTAACATCCCTTGCTATCACCAACTAAATGCTGAAAGCAAAATCTCTGGATGTTTTAACAACCACAAATTCTTCTACACAAATCCCCCGCAGAGGTGTCAGGAAGTACCCCATTGTTGAGAATCTCTATATGCATACAAATGTCTTTATTTTTACCCCTTTCCTTAAATAGTGTTGTGTAGTATAGACAATTCTAGCTTGACAGTTTTGACTTTATCAAAATTAAAAACTTATGCTCTGTAAAAATCCTGTCAGGAGGATGAAAAGATGAACTACAGACTAGGAGAAAATATTTTCAAACCACATATCCAACAAAGGACTCATGTCTATAACTCATAAAGAACTTTCAAAACTCAACACTTAAAAACCAAATGATCCAATTAGAAAACAGGCAAAGACATCAAGACATTTCACTGAAGAGGATATACAGATGGCAAATAATCACATGAAAACGTGTTCAGTATCACTAGCCATTAGGGAAATGTAAATTAAGACCACAGTGAGATATTACCACACAACTATTAGAACAGCTAAATTTGAAAATAGTGACAACACCAAATTCTGGAAAGGATGATAGGAAAATATGGGTATGCAGAATGGTACAGCCACCCTAGAAAACAGTTTGGCAATTTCTTTAAAAAAAAACTAAACATATATTTATCATATATTTATCATGTGACCCAGCAATCACACTGCTTGGCGTTTATCTTAGAGAAATAAAAACCTATATCCACACAAAGAGGAAAATCTATACATGATTGTTTGTGGCAACTTATTTATAATAGCCCAAAATTAGAAACTGCCAAATTGTCCTATAATTGCTAAACAAACTATGGTACATCTATACCACTGAATGCTACTCAGCAATAAAAGAGAATGAACTATTGGTGCACACAGCAACTTGAATGGATCTCAAAGGCATTATGCTGAGTGAATAAAGCAAAACTCAAAAGATCACATACTGTACGATTCCATTTTTTATGACATTCTCAGAATTACAATGTTATAGAGAAGGAGAACAGATCATTTGTTTCTAGGGGTTAGGAAAGGGGCAGGGTGAGGGGATGCATATGATTATAAAAGGGAGTTCTTTGTGGTAATGGAATAGTTCCGTATCTTGATTGCCATCGTGGTTATAGATTCTATATCTTTGATTAAATGACATAGAACTTTTTATTTTCTTTCTCCCTGAAGTACATGCTTTATACCAATATGAATTTCCAGATTTTGACATTGCATTATAGTTATGTAAGATGTAAATATTGGGTGAAATTGGGTGAAGGGACCCAATATGGGACCTCTCTGTACTACCTTTACTATTTCCTGTGAATCTATAATTATTTAAACAGAAAAGTTTAAAAATCCGTTTTTTATTTTTCACTTCTAGAAGTTCTAGTTGGCTGTTGTCATATCTGCTTTCACCTTGTTCTTTTATCTCTATAAACATCAATATTTTCTACTTTGTATTTGATAAATCTAATATCTCAAGCTTCATGGTGTCTGGTTCTACTGCCTGTCAGTTTTTCTGATTCTCACTTATGATACTTTGTTTCCGGTATATTTTATGATTTTTAACTCTGAAATGTTCATTTTCATTTAAAACTTTGTATTTGCTAATTCTTAAAAGTCTGGATTGAAGTTGAGTTCTTCTGGAACAAATTTCTATTTGCTCCTGCAGTCTGTTGGGAATGGTGCCAAACCTGTACTACAGTCAATTTAATTTCCCACTTGAGGTTTTTGGACAATATAAGTAGTATGAATTCTTAGGAAGTATTTTATGTTCTTATCAGCTAGTAGTAGTTTAATGATAGCCAAGTTTTATTTCTGTCCTTTGGAAAGGTGTTTAATTTTCAATTCACCCTTATTTCATGGTTATGGGGGGTGTAGTCCTTTGGAGCCCTATGCATATGTGGGGAATGAATTAGAGAAAACTCCATTTGAAACTGTCCTGGTCCTATCCTCTACATCATATGCAGTCCTGAAAAGAAGAAGCTCAAAGTCTCCAAAGTTTGGCAAAAACTCAAGGTTGAAAATTGCCTTTAGCACTGACTCCACTCCCATCTCCTCTGGATTCTTGCTGTAGCTTTTTTTTTTTTTTTTTTTTTTGGTTCCACTGATTTTCTACTTTTATTTGAGCTCAACAATGAGGGTGCCCTTTCTATTTAATCAAGAATTTTAGTGTTTCAGTAGAGAGGGTAGTTCATGCTATATAATCTGATATACAACCTGAAATGGAAGTCTGCTAAATTATATTTTCTTGCGTATGTTTTTAAACACCCTGCTTTGTAATCTCTAGCCTTCCAAAAAACACCGCATCCGTAATCCCTCCACCCCCTCCCCCAAAACCCCAGGAGTCACAAAACAGTGCTTTTGGTCTATTCAGTGTATTAACTATTCCTTGTTTAAATTGTGTACCCCTAAAAACTGAAACTGAAAATGAAATTACTATCAACGGATAATGTGTAAAATACCACAATGACAATTATAAACATATTTTTTAAATAGGTTGATATGAGTATAAACAGATATTAACGGCAGGCAAATCTGAATTTTAAAAAATCTTTGCTAGCTTTCAAACAGGCTCATTGAACATATTTGTACAGTTGACAGAATGCTTGGCTTCACTATTTCTGGGGAGGTAAATGAGGTCCAAAGTGCCATCATTTATATCTCTCTGGGAAAATTCTACCTGTGATTTTTCCAGGAGACTAATGTGGAATGAGATTTCTTACCAGGAGAATCTAGCAAATTTGTTTGATTCTCTGAATTATTATCTAGGATGAGCCTCTCTCTGGCGTGTAGTGAGTAGTGTGGTTGGACTTAACTGGAGGTAAAATGAATTATCATTAAGCCCTTTAAGAGGGAAACAGCTTAAGTAGCTCAAGTTACTGGCTTTTGTAGATCTTTCTTTTCTTAAAAGAGTTAGTGGGAGTTTGATTAATGTCTTGATTAAAATGGTCTTCCCTTCTTATAATAAAAAAAAGGAGTCTATTCATGTTTCAAAACAAAGATTGGACTACCTCTCCTTTTGCTTTCTTCCTTTTGCTTCAGGTACACGGCTAATGTTTGCTATCTGCTAGGAATTTGTTTGATTAATGCTAAACATTCTCTTTTCTCTGAGGTTCAGAAAGTCCTGGAACGTTTGTTAAGATTTAACTAACTGGGAGATACATACTGACATTACATAGGTCTTTCAGTTACATCACCTCTAATCACAATTCTGCTGTTGCCCTGAATGCCTCTTTTTCCTGATAACAGGTCTCTAATACCACATATCAGATGGCACTGTCTGATACTTGTGCATGCCCTCTCCCTGTGATGAAATGAGCACTTGTTTAATAATGGACAATCATGAAAAATAGTAGGGTTTTACAAATAGTAGTACATAAAGCAGAAAAGGAAGGCGTATGCAAACATTAAAAGAATAAGTAAACGGTGCTGGAAATGTTATTTAAAATTCCACACAACTTTAATTGGAATGGAACACTAAACTGAGAGATACTAAAAAAGAATACAGAAAGCTTCATGGGGCAATTATGTAATGAGACCATAATTGGCAACCCAGAAATAAATCAGAAAACAATGATTTAAAGACATAAACCATGAATTAAAGTTGGATAAAGTTATAATAATAATAAAATAACTAACATGTATATAATTATTTATAGTTTCCAAATAATTTACTACATATATTATTCAGATGCTTCAGTTACTGTGCTCATGAGATAATTATTTAGAAACAAACAAAAATGAAAGAAGTAAAGAAGAGTTGAAAAAACTAGTAAGTTAAATGATGTTAGAAACACATCATGAAGAGAAAGTGTGTTCTCTATCCAAATCACAGTTCTAGTCATGTTATTTCAGGGCAAAAATATTCCTCTGAAGTCCTCTACTGCCAACAGGGTCAAGTTGTACGTCTTTGATGAAGCAGAAGGTATATAATCTGTTTTCAGCTTACCATTTTAGTCTTATCTCTAAACATTCCTTTCAGCTCAAGAATCTAACATCCAGCCACACATTTCTCTATTAATTGACCCCAGAACAGGTCATACTTTTTCCGTTTTCTTTGTTACTCTTTTTTTTATTATAAAACAATATAGTCCTGCTGTTAACAAGTAACAATGTATAGAAGAAACATACAATAAAAAAAAGCATGTCTTCATTCCTCTCCAATATTTCCACTCAACCTAATTACTAGAAGTAACCATTTGTGGCTATCAATGGTTTGTTGGACACTTTAAAAACATTTTCTATGCCTATAAAATATATGTAATAAAAAATACAATATTAACCCTAACCCTATATAATAAATAATGTAATATTTAACACATATATATCCTACAAATTATATATATATATATATCTCCTACAAATAAAACAAAGCCTTTTTGCTACTACCTTAAACTGGTCTCATCACAACGTCATATCCATAAGAAATCCAAATTTAACTAGCTAATGCTTTAAAATCTAATATCTGCTTTTACTGAAGCACCTTGAACAGAGAATGAGGAGTGGGAAATAATACCCCCATACTCTCTATACACACAGGAATTTCCAAAAATTCCTCTTTAAACAATTCTCTCCTTCAAAGTCACCATGATGTCTTTTTTCCTCTCTCAAAAAATTCCAGCCTACCTATTTCTTCTTTCCTCAGGTAGCTCCGTACTCTGCCTATATGAGAATCAAATTAGAGTTTCTAAGCTACCCTTAATTGGCATTTTCACCTATTACCTCTAAACACCACCACAAAGATTCAGGATCAGAGAGACACAAACAAATAAAAATCCTCCTTAGGAAGGAGATAGTATTGTGGGGTGAGGTGGCAGGTAATGGCTTTTGTATTTACATTTTAATATATATTAAAGTCTAAGTCTATGTGTATGCATATTATAGAATTATTCTAGATTCTATAACTTTTATTCTATATCCTGAATCTTGATGTTTGATGTTTTGCTTAGCAGCCTTTCCAAGTTAGTATAGATATATACACGTCATTTTCTGAAAGCATTATATATTTGATATATTACCATGTGTGGAGGCCCCATAGTTATTTAACTTTTTCTACTGGTGGATGTTCAGGTTTTTTCATTTTTTTTTTTTACAATTATGAACAATGCTACTTCATTGCACATATATTTTGGCTCTCCTTTTTTTTTGGAATAGTGTCCAGTTTGTCCTTCTACTACTTCCATATGTCAAATGCTCCATAAAACTTATGTTGAAAAATATTTCTGTTGTCTGAATTTGCATTAGAGTTCCAAAGCTGAGGACCATAGCTGTTAGCTATCTATCCCTACATTCTAATGTCAGGGCCAAGATACTTCCAGCCATCCTCTCAGAGCTTAGTAAAAGACTCCTACTCCCATTACCCCAATCAATCCATAAAGAAGTAAGTTCACTAAATAAAGATCTTTTGTGAAGAAGAGAATATCTTATATATATTGTTAAAAATTTTTGCCATAGTCACCCTGTTGTGCTAGCAAATACTAGTTCATATTCATTCTTTCTAACTGCTTTATTGTACCCATTAACTATCCCCACTCCCCCCAAACCCACCCCCACTGCTTTTCCCAGCCTCTGATAAGCATCCTTTTACTCTCTATCTCATACTGCATTTTATTTATTCATTTGTCTGCTGACGGATAAAGGATGCTTCCAAATCTTGGCTATTGCGAATAGTGATGCAATAAACACAGGAGTGCAGATACCCCTTCCATATCCTGATTTATTTTCTTTGAGGCACATACCCAGCAGTGGGATTGCTGGATTGAAGGATAACTCTACTTATAGTTTTTTCACTATGCTCTCCATAGTGGTTGTACTAATTTACATCCCCACCAATAGTATACAAGGATTCCCTTTTCTCCACATCCTCACCAGCGTTAGTTATTGCCTGTCTTTTGGATAAAAGTCGTTTTTATTGGGGTGAGATGCTGTCTCACTGTAGTTTGATTTGCATTTCTTTGATGATCAATGGTATTGAGCACCTTTTCATATTCCTGTTTGTTATTTGTATGTCTTCTTTTGAAAAATGTCTATTCAGATCTTTTGCCCATTTTTAACCAGATTTTTTTTCTTATAGAGTTGTTTGAGCTCTCTGTATATTCTGGTTATTAATCCCTTGTCAGATGGGTAGTTTGCAAATATTTTCTCCCATTCTGTGAGCTGCCTCTTCACTTTATTGTTTTGTTGTTGTTGTGGTTCTTGTTTCTGTGCAGAAGCTCTTTAATTTGATGTGATACCATTTGTTCATTTTTGCTTTGGCTGCCTCTGCTTGTGGGGTACTACACAAGAAATTTTGCCCAGACCAATGTCCTAGAGAGTTTCTCTAATATTTTCTTGTAGTAGTTTCATAGTTTGAGGTCTCAGTTCTCACATTTAAGCCTTTAATCCATTTTGATTTTGCATTTTAGTATGGCAACAGATAGGAAGCTAGTTTCATTCTTCTACATAGGTATATCCAGTTTTCCCAGCACCATTTATTGAAAACACTATATTTTCCCCATTGTATGTTCTTGGCACCTTTGTAAAAAAAATGAGTTCACTGTAGTTGTATGGATTTGTTTCTGGGTTTCTTATTCTGTTCCACTGGTCTATGTCTCTGTTTTTATGCAAGTGCCATGCTGTTTTGGTTATTATAGCTCTGCAGTATAATTTGAAGTCAAGTAATGTGATTCTTCCAGTTTTGCTCTTTTTGCTGGATAGCTTTAGCTATTCTGGGTCTTTTATGGTGCCATATAAATTTCAGAATTATTTTTTCCATTTCTGTGAAGAAAGGCATGTGGGTAATTTGATAGGGATTGCGTTGAATCTGTAAAATGCCTTGGGTATTATAGACATTTTAACAATATTGATTCTTCCAATCTATGAACATGGAAGAGCTTTCCTTTTTTACATTTTTAGTGATCTCTTCAATTTCATTCCTGAATGATTTGAAGTTTTCATTGTAGAGATCTTTCACTTATTTGGTTAATTCCTAAGTATTTTAGTGTATTTGTCTCTATTCTAAATGGGATTATTTTCTTGACTTATTTTTCAGATTGTTTGCTGTTGGTATACAGAAATGCTATTGATTATTGTATGTTGATTTTGTGTCCTGCAACTTTACTTAATTTGTTTACCAGTTCTATTCATTTTTTAATGGAGTCTTTAGGTTTTTCCAAATATAAGATTATATCATCTGCAAACAAGGATAATTTAAATTCTTCCTTTCCAACCGAGATGCCCTTTGCTTCCTCCTCTTGTCTGATTGCTCTAGGTAAGTCATTCAGTACCATGTTTAATCACAGTGGTGAACATGGGCATCCATGTTGTGTTTCAGATCTTAGAGGAAAGGCTTTCAGTTTTTCCCTATTCAGTCTGATACTAGCTGTGGGTCTGTCATATATGGCTTTTGTTATGTTGAGGTAAGTTCTTTCTATACCCAGTTTTTTGAGGGTTTTTATCATGAAGGGATGTTGAATTTACCAAATGCTTTTACAGCATCAATTGAAATGATCATATGGGTTTTATTCCTCATTCTGCTGATGTGATATATTATATTGATTGATTTGAATATGATGAACAATCCTTGCATCACTAAGATAAATTCCACAGTGCAATCAAACTAGAACTCAGGATTAAGAAACTCACTCAAAACCACTCAACTACATGGAAACTGAACAACCTGCCCCTGAATGACTACTGGGTACACAACGAAATGAAGGCCGAAATAAAGATGTTCTTTGAAACCAACAAGAACAAAGACACAACATACCAGAATCTCTGGGACACATTCAAAGCAGTGTGTAGAGGGAAATTTATAGCACTAAATGCCCACAAGAGAAAGCAGGAAAGATCCAAAATTGACACCCTAACATCACAATTAAAAGAACTAGAAAAGCAAGAGCAAACACATTCAAAAGCTAGCAGAAGGCAAGAAATAACTAAAATCAGAGCAGAACTGAAGGAAATAGAGACACAAAAAACCCTTCAAAAAATTAATGAATCCAAGAGCTGGTTTTTTGAAAGGATCAACAAAATTGATAGACCGCTAGCAAGACTAATAAAGAAGAAAAGAGAGAAGAATCAAATAGACGCAATAAAAAATGATAAAGGGGATGTCACCACCGATCCCACAGAAATACAAACTACCATCAGAGAATACTACAAACACCTCTACGCAAATAAACTAGAAAATCTAGAAGAAATGGATAAATTCCTCGACACATACCTCCTCCCAAGACTAAACCAGGAAGAAGTTGACTCTCTGAATAGACCAATAACAGGCTCTGAAATTGTGGCAATAATCAATAGCTTACCAACCAAAAAGAGTCCAGGACCAGATGGATTCACAGCCGAATTCTACCAGAGGTACAAGGAGGAGCTGGTACCATTCCTTCTGAAACTATTCCAATCAATAGAAAAAGAGGGACTCCTCCCTAGCTCATTTTATGAGGCCAGCATCATCCTGATACCAAAGCCTGGCAGAGACACAACCAAAAAAAGAGAATTTTAGACCAATATCCTTGATGAACATTGATGCAAAAATCCTCAGTAAAATACTGGCAGACTGAATCCAGCAGCACATCAAAAAGCTTATCCACCATGATCAAGTGGGCTTCATCCCTGGGATGCAAGGCTGGTTCAACATACGCAAATCAATAAATGTAATCCAGCATATAAACAGAACCAAAGACAAAAACCACATGATTATCTCAATAGATGCAGAAAAGGCCTTTGACAAAATTCAACAACACTTCATGCTAAAAACTCTCTATAAATTAGCTATTGATGGGACGTATCTCAAAATAATAAGAGCTATCTATGACAAACCCACAGCCAATATCATACTGAATGGGCAAAAACTGGAAGCATGCCCTTTGAAAACTGGCACAAGACAGGGATGCCCTCTCTCACCACTCCTATTCAACATAGTGTTGGAAGTTCTGGCCAGGGCAATTAGGCAGGAGAAGGAAATAAAGGGCATTCAATTAGGAAAAGAGGAAGTCAAATTGTCCCTGTTTGCAGATGACATGATTGTATATCTAGAAAACCCCATTGTCTCAGCCCAAAATCTCCTTAAGCTGATAAGCAACTTCAGCAAAGTCTCAGGATACAAAATCAATGTACAAAGATCTTTTTATTTTTTTAAATTTAACTTTTAAGTTCAGGGGTACATGTGTAGGTTTGTTATATAGGTAAACTTTTGCCATGGGGGTTTGTTGCACAGATTGCTTACTCACCTAAGTGTTAAGCCTAATACCCATTTGTTATTTTTCATAATCTTCTCTCTCCTCCCACCCTCCAACCTCTGAGCGAACCCAGTGTGTTATTCTACTCTATGTGGCCATGTGTTCTCATCATTTAGCTCCCATTTATAAGTAACAACAAGTGGAATTTTATTTTCTGTTCCTGCATGAGTTTGCTAAGAATAATCACCTCCAGCTCCATTCATGTTCCTGCAAAGGATGTGATCTCATTCTTTTGAATGGCTGCATAGCATTGCATGGTGTATATGTACCATATTTTCTTTATCCAGTCTTCAGGACCTGAACTCAGCACTGGATCAAGTGGACCTGATAGACATCTACAGAACTCTCCACCCTAACAGAACATACATTCCCCTCATTGCTATATAGCACATACTCTAAAATTGATCACATAATCAGAAGTAAAAACTCCTCAGCAAACACCAAAAATCTGAAATCATAATGAACAATCTCTTGGACCACAGAACAATCAAATTAGAAATCAAGACTGAGAAATTCACTTAAAACTGTGCAATTACATGGAAATTTAGTAACCTGCTCCTGTATGACTTTTGGATTAAATAATGAAATTCAGGCAAAAATCAAGGAGTTCTTTGAAACTAATGATAACAAAGATACAACATACCAGAATCTCTGGAACACTGCTAAGGCAGTGATAAGAGGGAAATTTATAGCCTTAAATGTCCACATCAAAAAGTTAGAAAGATCTCAAATTAACAACCTAACATCACAGCTAAAAGAACTAGAGAACCAAGAGCAAAGAAATCCCAAAACTAACAGAAGACAATAAATAACCAAAATCAGAGCTGAAATGAAGGAGACTGTCACATGAAAAAAACATTCCAAAGATCAACAAATCCAGGAGCTGGTTTTTTAAAAAAAAATTAATAAACTAGATGGACCACTAGCTAGACTAATAAAGAAGAAAAGAGAAAAGATTCAAATAAACACAATCAGAAACAACAAGGGGGATATTACTACTAACCCCACAGAAATACTTACAGCCATCAGAGAATATTATGAACACTTCTGTGCACATAAACTAGAAAATCTAAAAGAAATGGATGAATTTCTGGACAAATAGAGCCTCCCATGACTGAACCAGGAAGAAACTGAATCCCTAAACAGACCAATAATGAACTCTGAAATTGAGTCAGTTATAAATAGCCTACCAGCCAAAAAAAAAAGCCCAAGTCCAGATGGATTGATAGCTTAATTCGACCAGATGTTCACAGAGGAGCTGGTACCATTCTTGCTGAAACTATTTCAAAAAATTGAGGAGGAGGGACTTCTTCCTAACTCATCCTATGAGGGCAGAACTATCTTGATACCAAAACCTGGCAGAGACACAACAAAAAAAGAAAGCTTCAGACCAATATCCTTGATAAACATCAGTGCAAAAATCTGCAACAAAATACTTACAAACTGAATCCAGCAGCACATCAAAGAGCTAATCCACCATAACCAAGTTGGCTTTATCCCTGGGATGCAAGGTTGGTTCAACATAGTCACATCAATAAATGTGATTCAACACATAAGCAGAACTAAATACAAAAACCACATGATTGTCTCAGTACATGCAGGAAAGGCTTTTAATAAAATTCAACAACACGTCATGTTAAAAACTCTTAATAAACTAGGTATAGAAGGAACATACATCAAAATCATAAGAATCATCTATGGCAAACCCACAGCCAATATTATACTGAATGGACAAAAGCTAGAAGCATTCCCCTTGAAAACTGGCACAAGACAAGGAACCTCTCTTAGCACTCCTATTCAACAGAGTATCGGAAGTCATGGTCAGGGCAATTAGGCAAGAGAAAGAAATAAAGCGCATCCAAATTGGAAGAGAGGAAGTCAAACTATCCCTGTTTGCAGACGATGATTCTATTTTATTTTCATTTTTATTTTTTGAGACTGAGTTTCACACCAGTCTCCCAGGCTGGAGTGCGGTGATGTGATCTCAGTTCACTGCAACCTCCGCCTCCCCGGCTCAAACGATTCTCTTGCCTCAGCCTCTCTAGTAGCTGGGATTACAAGTGTGCACCACCATGCCTGGCTAATTTTTGTATTTTTAGTTGAGACGGAGTTTCACCACGTTGGCCAGGCTGGTCTCAAACTCCTAACCTCAGCTGATCCGCCTGTCTCGGACTCCCAAATTGCTGAGATTACACGCTTGAGCCGCCAAACCCAGCCAATAATTCTATACCTAGAAAACTACATAGTCTCAGGTCCAAAGCTCCTTAAGCTGATAAACAACTTTAGCAAAGTCTCAAAATACAAAATCAACGTGTAAAACATCTTTTAAATATGTTTTTGAATTTGTTTTGTTAATATTTTTAGAGGATTTTTGCATCAACATTTATCAGTGATATTTGCCTATAGTTTCGTTTTGTTTTCTCCTGATGTTCCTTTATCTGGTTTTGGTATCAGAGTAATACTGGCATCACAGAATGAGTTTGGAAGTATTTCCTCCTCCTCAATTTTTCAGAATAGCTTGAGCAGTATTGGCATTAGTTCTTTAAATGTTTGGTAGAATTCAGCAGTGAGGCAAACAGGTTCTAACTTTTCTTTACTACGAGACTTTTTATTATGGCTTTGATCTTGTTACTTGCTCTTGGTATGTTCAGGTTTTGGATTTCTTCATGGTTAATCTTGGCAGGCTGTATGTGTCTAGGAATTTATCCACTTCTAAATTTTCCAATTTATTGGTATATATATTTGAAGTTTTTTTTTTCTTTTTTAATGTAGGTGCTTATAGCTATGGACTACGCTCTTAGTACTGCTTTCACTATATCCCATAAGTTTTGGTATGTTGCGTTTCCATTATCATTTTTTTCCAAGAAATTTTTTTTTTTATTTTATTATTATTATATTTTAAGTTTTAGGGTACATGTGCACAACATGCAGGTGTGTTACATATGTATACATGTGCCATATTGGTGTACTGCACCCATTAACTCCTCATTTAGCATTAGGTATATCTCCTAATGCTATCCCTCCACCCTCCCCCCACCCCACAACAGTCCCCGGTGTATGATGTTCCCCTTCCTGTGTCCATGTGTTCTCATTGTTCAATTCCCAACTATGAGTGAGAACATGCGGTGTTTGGTTTTTTGTCCTTGCAATAGTTTGCTGAGAATGATGGTTTCCAGTTTCATCCATGTCCCTACAAAGGACATGAACTCATCATTTTTTATGGCTGCATAGTATTCCACGGTGTATATGTGCCACATTTTCTTAATCCAGTCTATCATTGTTGGACATTTGGGTTGGTTCCAAGTCTTTGCTATTGTGAATAGTGCCGCAATAAACATACGTGTGCATGTGTCTTTATAGCAGCATGATTTATAATCCTTTGGGTATATACCCAGTAATGGGATGGCTGGATCAAATGGTATTTCTAGTACTAGATGCCTGAGGAATCGTCACACTGATTTCCTCAGGGACTGTAAACTGGTTGAACTAGTTTACAGTACCACCAACAGTGTAAAAGTGTTCCTATTCCTCCACATCCTCTCCAGCACCTGTTGTTTCCTGACTTTTTAATGATCGCCATTCTAACTGGTGTGAAATGGTATCTCATTGTGGTTTTGATTTGCATTTCTCTGATGGCCAGTGATGATGAGCATTTTTTCATGTGTTTTTTGGCTGCATAAATGTCTTCTTTTGAGAAGTGTCTGTTCATATCCTTCACCCACTTTTTGACGGGGTTGTCTTTTTCTTGTAAATTTGTTTGAGTTCATTGTAGATTCTGGATATTAGCCCTTTGTCAGATGAGTAGGTTGCAAAAATTTTCTCCCATTCTGTAGGTTGCCTGTTCACTCTGATGGTAGTTTCTTTTGCTGTGCAGAAGCTCTTTAGTTTAATTAGATCCCATCTGTCAATTTTGGCTTTTGTTGCCATTGCTTTTGGTGTTTTAGACATGAAGTCCTTGCCCATGCCTATGTCCTGAATGGTATTGCCTATGTTTTCTTCTAGGGTTTTTACGGTTTTAGGTCTAACATGTAAGTCTTTAATCCATCTTGAATTAATTTTTGTATAAGGTGTAAGGAAGGGATCCAGTTTCAGCTTTCTCCATATGGCTAGCCAGTTTTCCCAGCACCATTTATTAAATAGGGAATCCTTTCCCCATTTCTTTTTTTTTTTTGTCAGGTTTGTCAAAGATCTGATAATTGTAGATATGCAGCATTATTTCTGAGGGCTCTGTTCTGTTCCATTGGTCTATATCTCTGTTTTGGTAGCAGTATCGTGCTGTTTTGGTTACTGTAGGCTTGTAGCATAGTTTGAAGTCAGGTAGCGTGATGCCTCCAGCTTTGTTCTTTTGGCTTAGGATTGACGTGGTGATGAGGGCTCTTTTTTGGTTCCATATGAACTTTAAAGTAGTTTTTTCCAATTCTGTGAAGAAAGTCATTGGTAGCTTGATGGGGATGGCATTGAATCTATAAATTACCTTGGGCAGTATGGCCATTTTCACGATATTGATTCTTCCTATCCATGAGCATGGAATGTTCTTCCACTTCTTTATATCCTCTTTTATTTCATTGAGCAGTGGTTTGTAGTTCTCCTTGAAGAGGTCCTTCACATCCCTTGTAAGTTGGACTCCTAGGTATTTTATTATCTTTGAAGCAACTGTGAATGGGAGTTCGCTCATGATTTGGCTCTCTGTTTGTCTGTTATGGGTGTATAAGAATGCTTGTGATTTTTGCACATTGATTTTGTATCCTGAGACTTTGCTGAAGTTGCTTATCAGCTTAAGGAGCTTTTGGGCTGAGACAATGGGGATTTCTAGATATGTAATCATGTCATCTGCAAACAGGGACAGTTTTACTTCCTCTTTTCCTAATTGAATACCCTTTATTTCCTTCTCCTGCCTGATTGCCCTGGCCAGAACTTCCAACACTATGTTGAATAGGAGTGGTGAGAGAGGGCATCCCTGTCTTGTGCCAGTTTTCAAAGGGAATGCTTCCAGTTTTTGCCCATTCAGTATGATATTGGCTGTGGGTTTGTCTTAGATAGCTCTTATTATTTTGAGATACGTCCCATCAATAGCTAATTTATTGAGAGTTTTTAGCATGAAGTGTTGTTGAATTTTGTCAAAGGCCTTTTCTGCATCTATTGAGATAATCATGTGGTTTTTGTCTTTGGTTCTGTTTATATGCTGGATTACATTTATTGATTTGCGTATGTTGAACCAGCCTTGCATCCCAGGGATGAAGCCCACTTGATCATGGTGGATAAGCTTTTTGATGTGCTGCTGGATTCAGTCTGCCAGTATTTTACTGAGGATTTTTGCATCAATGTTCATCAAGGATATTGGTCTAAAATTCTCTTTTTTTGGTTGTGTCTCTGCCAGGCTTTGGTATCAGGGTGATGCTGGCCTCATAAAATGAGTTAGGGAGGAGTCCCTCTTTTTCTATTGATTGGAATAGTTTCAGAAGGAATGGTACCAGCTCCTCCTTGTACCTCTGGTAGAATTCGGCTGTGAATCCATCTGGTCCTGGACTTTTTTTCGTTGGTAAGCTATTGATTATTGCCTCAATTTCAGAGCCTGTTATTGGTCAATTCAGAGATTCAACTTCTTCCTGGTTTAGTCTTGGGAGGAGGTATGTGTCGAGGAATTTATCCATTTCTTCTAGATTTTCTAGTTTATTTGTGTAGAGGTGTTTATAGTATTCTCTGACGGTAGTTTGTATTTCTGTGGGTTCAGTGGTGACATCCCCTTTATCATTTTTTATTGCGTCTATTTGATTCTTCTCTCTTTTCTTCTTTATTAGTCTTGCTAGCGGTCTATCAATTTTGTTGATCTTTTCAAAACACCAGGTCCCGGATTCATTAATTTTTTGAAGGGTTTTTTGTGTCTCTATTTCCTTCAGTTCTGCTCTGATTTTAGTTATTTCTTGCCTTCTGCTAGCTTTTGAATGTGTTTGCTCTTGCTTTTCTAGTTCTTTTAATTGTGATGTTAGGGTGTCAATTTTGGATCTTTCCTGCTTTCTCTTGTGGGCATTTAGTGCTATAAATTTCCCTCTACACACTGCTTTGAATGTGTCCCAGACATTCTGGTATGTTGTGTCTTTGTTCTCATTGGTTTCAAAGAACATGTTTATTTCTGGCTTCATTTCGTTGTGTACCCAGTAGTCATTCAGGGGCAGGTTGTTCAGTTTCCATGTAGTTGAGTGGTTTTGAGTGAGTTTCTTTTTTATTTTTTATTTTTTTATTTTTTTATTTTATTTTTTTTTTTTTGAGACGGAGTCTCGCTCTGTCGCCCAGGCTGGAGTGCAGTGGCGGGATTGAGTGAGTTTCTTAATCCTGAGTTCTAGTTTGATTGCACTGTGGTCTGAGAGACAGTTTGTTATAATTTCTGTTCTTCTCCATTTTTTGAGGAGTGCTTTACTTCCAACTATGTGGTCAATTTTGGAATAGGTGTGGTGTGGTGCTGAAAAGAATGTATATTCTGTTGATTTGGGGTGGAGAGTTCTGTAGATGTCTGTTAGGTCCGCTTGGTGCAGAGCTGAGTTCAATTCCTGGGTATCCTTGTTAACTTTCTGTCTTGTTGATCTGTCTAATGTTGACAGTGGGTTGTTAAAGTCTCCCATTATTATTGTGTGGGAGTCTAAGTCTCTTTGTAGGTCACTAAGGACTTGCTTTATGAATCTTGGTGCTCCTGTATTGGGTGCATATATATTTAGGATAGTTAGCTCTTCTTGTTGAATTGATCCCTTTACCATTATGTAATGGCCTTCTTTGTGTCTTTTGATCTTTGTTGGTTTAAAGTCTGTTTTATCAGAGACTAGGATTGCAACCACTGCCTTTTTCTGTTTTCCATTTGCTTGGTAGATCTTCCTCCATCCCTTTAATTTGAGCCTATGTGTGTCTCTGCAAGTGAGATGGATTTCCTGAATACAGCACACTGATGGGTCTTGACTCTTTATCCAATTTGCCAGTCTGTGTCTTTTAACTGGAGCATTTAGCCCATTTACTTTCAAAGTTAATATTGTTATGTGTGAATTTGATCCTGTCATTATGATGTCAGCTGGCTGTTTTCCTCGTTAGTTGATGCAGTTTCTTCCTGGCCTTGATGGTCGTTACAATTTGGCATGTTTTTGCAGTGGCTGGTACTGGTTGTTCCTTTCCATGTTTAGTGCTTCCTTCAGGAGCTCTTTTAGGGCAGGCCTGGTGGTGACAAAATCTGTCAGCATTTGCTTGTCTGTAAAGGATTTTATTTCTCCTTCACTTATGAAGCTTAGTTTGGCTGGATATGAAATTCTGGGTGGAAAATTCTTTTCTTTAAGAATGTTGAATATTGGCTCCCACTCTCTTCTGGCTTGTAGAGTTTCTGCCGAGAGATCCGCTGTTAGTCTGATGGGCTTCCCTTTGTGGGTAACCCGACCTTTCTCTCTGGCTGCCCTTAACATTTTTTCCTTCATTTCAACTTTGGTGAATCTGACAATTATGTGTCTTGGAGTTGCTCTTCTCGAGGAGTATCTTTGTGGCATTCTCTGTATTTCCTGAATTTGAATGTTGACCTGCCTTGCTAGATTGGGGAAGTTCTCCTGGATAATATCCTGCAGAGTGTTTTCCAACTTGGTTCCATTCTCCCCGTCACTTTCAGGTACACCAATCAGACGTAGATTTGGTCTTTTCACATAGTCCCATATTTCTTGGAGGCTTTGCTCATTTCTTTTTATTCTTTTTTCTCTAAACTTCTCTTCTCACTTCATTTCATTCATTTCATCTTCCATCACTGATACCCTTTCTTCCAGTTGATTGCATCGGCTACTGAGCCTTCTGCATTCGTCAGAAGCATGTCAGGTAGCTCTCATGCCTTGGTTTTCAGCTCCATCAGGTCCTTTAAGCACTTCTCTTTAATGGTTGTTCTAGTTATCCGTTCATCTAATTTTTTTTCAAAGTTTTTAACTTCTTTGCCATTGGTTCGAATGTCCTCCTGTAGCTTGGAGTAGTTTGTTGTCTGAAGCCTTCTTCTCTCAACTCGTCAAAGTCATTCTCTGTCCAGCTTTGCTCCGTTGCTGGTGAGGAGGTGTGTTGCTTTGGAGGAGGAGAGGTGCTCTGATTTTTAGAGTTTCCAGTTTTACTGCTCTGTTTTTTCCCCATCTTTTTGGTTTTATCTACCTTTGGTCTTCGATGATGGTGACACACTGATGGGTTTTTGGTGTGGATGTCCTTCCTGTTTGTTAGTTTTCCTTCTAACAGACAGGACCCTCAGCTGCAGGTCTGTTGGAGTTTGCTAGAGGTCCACTGCAGACCCTGTTTGCCTGGGTATCAGGAGTGGTGGCTGCAGAACAGCGGATATTGGTGAACCCCAAATGCTGCTGCCTGATCGTTCCTGTGAAAGTTTTGTCTCAGAGGAGTACCTGGCTGTGTGAGGTGTCAGTCCGCCCCTACTGGGGGGTGCCTCCCAGTTGGGCTACTCGGGGGTCAGGGACCCACTTGAGGAGGCAGTCTGCCCGTTCTCAGATCTCAAGCTGCGAGCTGGGAGAACCACTCCTCTCTTCAAAGCTGTCAGGCAGGGACATTTAAGTCTGCAGAGGTCACTGCTGTCTTTTTGTTTGTCTGTGCCCTGCCCCCAGAGGTGGAGCCTACAGAGGCAGGCAAGCAGGCCTCCTTGAGCTGTGGTGGGCTCCACCCAGTTCAAGCTTCCTGGCCACTTTGTTTACCTAATCAAGTCTCGGCAATGGCGGGCACCCCTCCCCCAGCCTCACTGCCACCTTGCAGTTTGATTTCAGACTGCTGTGCTAGCAATGAGGGAGACTCTGTGGGCGTAGGACTCTCCGAGCCAGGTGTGGGATATAATCTCCTTGTGTGCCATTTTTTAAGCCCATTGGGAAAGCACAGTATTAGGGTGGGAGTGACCCGATTTTCCCGGTGCCATCTGTCACCCCTTTCTTTGACTAGGAAAGGGAATTCCCTGACCTCTTGCGTTTCCTGGGTGAGGCGATGCCTCACCCTGCTTCGGCTCATGCAAGGTGCTCTGCACCCACTGTCCTGCACCCACTTTCTGGCACACCCCAGTGAGATGAACCCGTTACCTCAGTTGGAAATGCAGAAATCACCCATCTTCTGCGTCGCTCATGCTGGGAGCTGTAGACCAGAGCTGTTCCTGTTCGGCCATCTTGGCTCCTCATCCCAAAGACCTCCAAGAAATTTTTCAACCTTGTTCTTGATTTCTTCATTAACCCACTGGTTGTTCAGGAGCATGTTGTTTAATTTCCATGTGTTTGTATAGTTTCCAAAATTCCTGTTATTGATTTCTAATTTTATTCCATTGTGGTCAGAGTTGATGCTTTACATTATTTCAAATTTTGAGGATGTTTTAAGCCTTGTTTTGTTACCTAACACATGATCTATCCTTGAGGATAATCCATGTACTGAGGAAAAGAAAATGTATTCTGTAGCCATTGGATTAAATGTTCTGTAATTATCTGTTAGGTCTATTTGGTCTGTATGCAAATTAAGTCCAATGTATCTTTGTCGATTTTTTGTCTGGAAAAGCTGTCCAGTGTTGAAAGTGGAATGAAGTCTCCAGATATTATTGTATTGAGGTCCATTTCTTTTTTTAGCTCTAATAATATTTGCTTTCTATATCTGGGTGCTCCAGTGTTGGGTGCACATATATTTACAATTGTTACATCCTTTTGTTGAACTGACCTGTTTATCATTGTATAGTGACTTTCTTTGTCTCATTTTATAGTTTTTGTCTTGAAATCTATTTTTTTCTGATAGACTTCGAGACAAAAGCTATAAGTATAGCTACTCCTGCTTTTTTTTTTTTTTTTTTTGGTTTTCCATTGGCATGGCATATCTTTTTCCATCCCTTTATTTTCAGTCTACATTTGTCTTTATAGGTGAAGTATGTTTCTTAAGGCAACAGATCACTGGGTCTTTTTTTTTTTTTTTTGGTACATTCAGCCATTGTATGTCTTTTTGTTGGAGAGTTTAGTTCATTTACATTCAATGTTACTATTGATAAGTAAGAACTTACTCCTGTTATTTTGCTATTTGTTTCCTGGTTGTTTTGTAGCCTTCTCTTCCTTCTTTCTTTTTTTTTTCTTTCTTTTAGTGAAGGTGATTTCCTCTGGTGGTATCATTTAATTTCTTGCTTTTTATTTTTTGTGTATCTGTTGTAGGTTTTTTGATTTGAGATTACCATGAGGCTTGCAATGATTTGAAGTTACCATGAGGCTTGCAAATGCTATCTTATCACCCATTATTTTAGGCTGGTAACAACAGTACTTGCATAAACAAACAAAGAAAAAATAAGCCAAAAAAAAAAACTAATAACAACTCTACATCTTAACTTTGTCTCTCTGCTTTTTATCTTTTTGTTGTTTCTATTTATAACTGTTGTACTGTCTGTCTTGAAATGCTGTTGTAGTTATTATTTTTGATTTGTCTATGTTTTAGTCTTTCTGTGAGTAGTTTATGCACCACAGTTACAGGGTTGTAATATTCTGTTTTTCTGTTTACTTACTGTTACCAGTGAGTTTTGTATCTTCACATGACTTCTTATTGCTTATTAACAGCCTTTTCTTTCTGACTGAGGTACTCCTTTTTGCATTTCTTGTAGGACAGGTCTGGTGTTGATAAAATTCCTTAGCGTTTGTTTGCCTGAGAAAAGCTTTATTTCTCTTTAATTTTTGAAGGAGATTTTTATAGAATGTAGCATTCTGGGTTAAAAACTTTTTCCTTCAGCAAGGTTTCCACTGAGAAGTCTGCTGGCAGAGATATTGGAGCTCCATTGTATGTTATTGTTTCTTTTCCTGTTTTTAGGATTCTTTCTTTATGCTTGACTTTTGGGAGTTTGATTATTAAATGCCTTGTAGTAGTCTTCCTTGGGCCATATCTGCTTGGTCTTATAACCTTCTTGTACTTGAATGTTGATATCTTTCTCTAGGTTTGAGAAATTATCTGATATCTCTTTGAATACACTTTTTATCTCTGTCTCTTTCTCTACTTCTTCTCTAAGGCCAATAACTTTTACACATGACCTTTTGAGGTTATTTTTTAGATCTTGTAGGGGTGCTTTGTTCTTTTTATTTTTATCTTCTCTTAATGTCTATTTTCAAATAACTGTCTTCAAGCTCACTAATTATTTCTTCTGTTTGATCAATTCCTCTTTTAAGAGACTCTTATGCATTCTTCAGTATGCCAATTGCATTTTTCATCTCTAGAATTTCTGCTTCTTTTTTAATTATTTCAATCTCTTTGTTAAATTTATCTAATAGAATTCTTAATTCCTTATCTGTGTTATCTTGAATTTCTTTGAGTTTCCTCAACACAGCCATTTAGAATTCTCTGTCTGAAAGGTCATATATCTCTGTTTCTACAGGATTGGTCCCTGGTACCTTATTTAGTTCGTTTGGTGAAGACATGTTCTCATGGATGGTCTTGATGCTTGTGGATGTCTGTCTGTGTCTGGGCATTGAAGAGTTGGGTATTTACTGTAGTCTTCAGTTTGGGCTTGTTTGTGCCCATCCTTTTTGGGAAGGCTTTTCAGGTATTCAAAGGCACTTGGGCCCCCATCCCAGCAAGGTTGTGGTTTTTGAAGATTCATAGAAGTACCACCTTGGTGATCTTAGATAAGATCTAGAAAAATTATCTAGATTATCAGATAGTGTTTCTTTTTATCTTCCCTTACTTTCTTCCAAACAAATGATGTCTCTCCCTCTCTCTCTCTCTCTCTAAGCTGAGCCACCTGAACCTGGGGATGGGGTGATGTAAGCATGCCTGTGGCCACCACCAGTGGGACTGTGCTGGGTCAGACCTGGAGCCAGCACAGCACTGGGTCTCACCCAAGGCCCACTGTGACCACTAACTGACTATGACCCTGGGGCTCTATGACCCACAGGTGGCAAAGCCAGCCAGGCTTATGTCCTTCCCTTCAGGGCAGCAAGTTCCTTCAGGCCCTGGGCAGGTTGAGAGATGCCATTCTTGAGCCAGGGACTGGAGGCAAATACTTTAGAAATTTAACTGGTGTTCTATTGTACTGCAGCTGATTGGGCACTCAAAGCATGAAACACAGTTCTTCCCACTCTTCCCCCTCCTTTCCACAGGGAGAGGAGTCTCACTCTGTGGCCATCACCACAACAGGCCCATGGGGAGTACTGCCATGTTACCACCAAAGTTCACTTAAGGCACAAGGGATCATCAGTTAGCTTGTGGTAAATGCTGCTAAGCCTGTGACTCACCCTTCAGGGTAGTGGGCTCCCCTCTCTCCCCAGGCAGGTCCAGAAATTCTGTCCAAGACCTAGGCCTAGAATGAAGGGCCCAAAGAGCCCCTTTGTGCTCTACCCCACTGTGGCTGAGCTGGTACCTAAGGTGCCAGACAAAGTTCTTCTCTTTACTCTTTTCTGTGCTTTTCTCAAGCAAAAGGAATGTCTCACCTTAGCCACCAGAGCTCGGAGTGTGCTGGGTCTCATCTGAAGCCTGCACATCTCAGAGTCTCACCCAAGGCCCATAGCATACTGTCTGGGTATCACTGCTGGTTACTCAGGGCCCAAGGGCTATTTAGACAGCAGGTGGTGTATCCTGCCAAGACTGGGCCCTTCCCTTTAAGACAGTGGGTTCACTCCTGGCCCAGGATGTGTTTAGAAATGTTGTTTTGGAGCTAAGACTTGGAAAGGGGGTCTCATATCTGTGACTGGTTCCCTGTTTGATATGGTTTTGCTGTGTCCCCACCCAAATCTCATCTTGAATTCCCACATGTTGTGGGAGGGACCCAGTGGGAGGTAATTGAATCATGGGGGTGGGTCTTTCCCATGCTGTTCTCTTGATCGTAAATAAGTCTCATGATATCTGATGGTTTTAAAAATGGGAGTTTCCCTGCACAAGCTCTCTCTCTCTTTGCCTGCTGCCATCCATGTAAGACATGACTTGTGCCTCCTTGCCTTCTGCCATGATTGTGAGGCCTCCCTAGACACGTGGAACTGTAAGTCCATTAAACCTCTTTCTTTCATAAATTTCCCAGTCTCGGGTATGTCTTTATCAGCAGCATGAAAATGGACTAATACACTGTTCTACTGTGTATTAGTGGGTGAGCTGGTATCCAAGATCTAAGACAAATTCTTCTTTACTCTTCTCTCTCCTGTCCTCAAGCAGAAGGAAGGAGTCTTTTTTGACCCATGAGCTGTGCATCCTGGGCTTGGGGCAGGGATGGCACAAGCACTCCCTTATCTGCTTTGTGTGCGTGCGTGTGTGTGTGTGTGTGTGTGTGTGTGTGTGTGTGTGTGTGATGTAAAAACTTTATTTACAACTGAACCAGAGCACTGTCATTAAGAAGTGTTACAGATCTTTCTTAGGTATTTCACCATGTGACTCCACATAATCATTTTAGAAAACCCTACCAAAGCTAAACACAGAGGACCCAGAAATTCTACTCTTTTCCATGCCCAAGAAAAATGAGCACATGTGTCTACAAAAAGAGAAATATAAGAATATTTATAAGAGCCTTATTCATAATAGCCAAATCCTGGAAATAAGCCAAATACTAGTCAACAAAAGAATGAGTAAGTAAATGGTAGTTTATTCATACAATGGAAATCTATATAACAACAAAAAGAACAAGCTGCTGATACACATAACAACATGGATCCACTCCACATATTTTACATTGAGTGAAAGAAGCCAGATACAAAAGAATGCATATGTATGATTTCAATTATATCAAATTCAAGAAGAGGTGAACTAGCTGATGAAGATAAGAGACAGAATATTCATTATCTGGGGGTGAGTGGATATAGGATTATAGAATGGGAAGGCGGAGGAAGGAATTTGGAAGGGTAGTGGAAATATTGTATTTCTTGACCTAGCTGGTGTTTATAAGAAGGGGAGAAGGAAGGTTGGGGGAAATGTGTATGTATACAGTAAAAATTACCAAGCTGCACACTTATGATTAGCACATTTTGCGTAGTTTACTTTATTTGTGTTATAACGCAAAAAAAACTAACTCCAACATAAACTGTTATAAAAATACAGAAGCAATTTTCCTTAAGCCATTTATATTCAAATAGCTAAAGCCAGATGTGTTTCAATGTTCAACACATGTGCTTGTCTAAAATGATCAACCTTCGACAGACATGATTGGTTGTCATAACAAAAATGATTGGTAATTATACAGTCATTCTTTTGTTCAAACAGGTCAAAGTCTTTATAAACTTATCTCACAATGTGAGCATAATAAAAAAGGTAAGTCTAATTCACACACTTATTTTGTATCCCAAAAGAGTTAGTTTTATAAAAAAATGAAGCCTTAAATCTAAATACAGACCCCTATTTTGTATTTATCTTATTATTCTACACAGCAAAAGTGCCATGAGGATTATCATAGGCCTTAAAGAAATCTTGAAAGGCAATATAGCCTGGTTATTAATAGACTCCTCCATTTCCCAGAAGTATAACCTTGAGCAATAGCCTTGGTTTGGAAATAATAGTTCCAAGTGACTAAATATGTTATATGTTTATAAGGCTTGGAGTAGTATAGTGCCTGGCACATAATATGTGCTAATACATGTAATACCTTCATCATTTAAAAGAAATCGGATGGCAAGCATAGAAGAAATTCAACTAGCTTGATGTTTCCTTTCCAATACAGAAGAGTCTCAACTTTTGTGACTTATCTTTGTAAATAAAAATGCATTTTTCCAAAACAGCTATATTCTCTCTTGTCTAAATTCCTTTAAAAACAGAGACTCTGGAGTTCTGTTGCACAGTAAGGTGATTATAGTCAACTATAATGTATTGTATATCTCAAAATAGCTAGAAGAGAGGATTTCGAATGTTCTCCCCACAAAAAAATGATAAGTATTTGAGGTGATGGATATGCTAACTACCCTGATTTGATTATTACATGATCTACATACATATTGAAACATCACACTGTTCCCCATAAATAAGTATACTTATTATGTATCAATTAAAAATGAAATAAATCTTATAAAAACAGTTACTCTATGGGTATAATAATCTTAGGGCATGCATGTATGTCCTAAGGCTGAGAAATAAGCAGAACTCCCCTAGCTGATCTGCAAATCTGTGGTGGGAGAAGAAATGCTTATTGTTGTATATCACTGAATTTTGGGGTGGTTTGTTAAATAACATTATATGTCAACAACTGACTAATTCACTTGGTAGCTTATAGTCTAGGACAGAGGTTGGCAAACTATGGCCTGTTAGCCAACTCTGGGCCATGGCCTATTTTTGTATAGTTCATGAGCTAATAAAACCATTTTAAAAACAATGATTTTTAAAGGGTTGTATAAACAAACAAACAGAGAAGAATATGCACCAGAGACCTTATAGGACCTGCAAAGCCTAAAATTTTTGTTGTATGCTTCCTTATAGACAAAAAAAAGTTGCTGATTCCAGTCTAGAGGAAACAGTAAGGAAGAGAAAAGAGAAATTCTCATTATAGCCATGGCAAAGGAAGGGACATTTTTATGGACTACATCTCTGCCTGGATGGCTGTCTCTAACTGGATTTTGCCAATATATGCTGAGTAAGTAGAAGACCAGTGCATTTTGGAGTGGTCGTATGTATATGTGTATGTGTATGTGATATGGTTTGCTTCAGTTTCCCCCCCCCACACACACAAATTTCAACTCAAATTGTAATCCCCACGGGTCGAGTGAAGGACCCGGTGCAAGGTGATGGGATCATGGGGGCAGTTTCCCCCATGCTGTTCTCGTCATAGTGAATGAGTTCTCTTGAAATCTTATGGTTTTAAAGTGTGGCACTTTTCCCCTTGCTCTCTCTCTCTCTCTTCTGCCACATTGTGAAGGAGGTGCTTGCTTTTACTTCACCTTCTACCATGATTGTAAGTTTCCCGAAGCCTCCCCAGCCATGTGGAACTGAGTTAATTAAACCTCTTTTTCTTTATAAATTACCCAATCTCAGGTAGTTCTTTATAGTGATGTGAAAATGAACTAATACAGTATGTATGTGGAAGGACAGGTAATTATAGTGGGTTCTGTAGCCCATTGACATAAACAACTGCTGGCCATGAGCAGTATTCCTAGGAAGAAGCACTGTTCACATGGATAATTGGGGGAGAGACCAGCAAAAACCTTATAAACTGGAAATAATTTCTGCAGGTCCGATAGCAATTCATGGCCTCTCTCTTTCACTACATTTATTTAAGAACAATTCCCAAGCCCTTCCTAGTTTTTTCCCTCCTCCAGAACTATTTATACATTTGTTGTTCCTTGATCTACACTGGCAGTGCTGGCTCTCATTGGACAGTAGGCTACTGGAAAATATGATGAAAAAATGTCCTACAGCAGACTGAGCATGTGCTAGTACATGCAGCTCCTGCCATCTGTTTGTCTGCTTTGACAGATGTTATTGAATGAGCAGGTAAAGATAGTGAGAAGTGAAGCAGAGACATTTAATAGACAGCATCACATTAGCAGATCCATAAACAGCTGGCAATGAAAAGTAGCCACTGTTTGTATCCAGATGTCCATATTAGGAGACAAAATAGTTCTATATATACTACCACTCTAATGGTGGAGAAAGATCCTGGAGGGACATGGGTCATTATCTGGAGTACTTACATGATATAGACCATCAGTGTTTTTGCAAAAAAAAACTTTAACTTTAACCTACCTTTGGAAACTAACTCTAACCTACCTTTGGTACTTCGTCTTACCAAAATGTTATGTACTGGGATGCATGTGAGTGTTGTAATACTAGATTTGTTTCTTTATCAAAACATACAACTTATATTGATTATGTTTATGATATATTATTTTGCCTAAATGTAATGTGAAAAGGGGTCTGAAAATCAAATTCCTAAATGGGAAAGAGATTCACTGTAGGAATATATATATATATATATAGGAATATATATGTATAGGAATATATATGTATAGGAATATATATATATAGGAATATATATGTATAGAAATATATATATAGGAATATATATAATTCCAATAATAAAATATATATATGGTTTATCTTTGAAGTATATATATGTATGTTATGCCCAAGAAATCAATGTCCCTTTTAAAAAATCTAGAAAGCAGAGTTTGCTTGGGTCATAAATATAGTTGTCTGCATCTCTCTGCCTAGAAGGTCTCCCATTATTGTTATTTTATACCTCATTCTAGCCTTTGCTGACACTGATTTGTCAATATGGCATTGAGCCTTAAGTTTGTTCTGATAAAAAAAAAATCTGGAGCTATATACTTGTTATTTGGATATTGTACTTTTATTTGTAAGAAGAGAAGGAAACTGCAAAATAGTTATTGACCTGAAAGCAACATATATTTTTAAAAACAGGGACTGTGTGGATATAATAATCTTAGGGAAGAAGTGTATATTTTTTAGGTGAGTCTGATAGCATTTATGAAATGCTTTGATCTGGTTCTATGCTTGTCTCTGAAGCTCTTGTTACCTCAGTTAAGTCAGCTTACCTGGATTTTTCTGTAAGATCTATCTCAGGCCTTTGTGAGGTGGTATGAGAGATACCAGGAATGATCCTTTCACCCAAAAATATCCCATCAACTAGATGCTTGAAGTGCAGGTAGTATTTGGGGAAAATGACAGAGCCTTTTCACAGTCATGGAAATACTCTAAAGATAAACCTATTAAGTTTCATAATTTTGACTGGAGTCGGTTTCAAGGGTCATGGGAAGTGGACATAAAAACTTGACTTTAAACTTTCCCCTTGGAAATAAGACATTATTTGTGACGTGGCTTCAGTTCTCTAAAGAGAAATCACATTAGGGCAGGAGGAATATTCTCAATAGTGGAACACCTTTGACATCAGGATGGACAGTTTACTGTTCTGCGAAGATAAGAGTGCAGCCTCCCTCAAACGCAAGGAAGTAGGCTTGGTAAACTTCAAATGGCGATTCTGCTTCTTAAGGCATGATGTCTGGGCTCCTAAAGGATTCTATTAAATCACAGCTTTCAATGTATATTTAATCACATTTTATAATAAAACATTTTATTTAACATGTACTTGACTGACTTTTGGCCTTTTTATGTTTTAATCTAGCTTTCCATTCCATCTCCATGCAATTTCATCCCATCCCATCCTATCATATTCCATTCTTTTTCATTCTATTCCATCCCATTTCATTCCATCCCTCTCCACAACTACCTGTTGAGTACCTACTTTGTACAAAGCATTGTTAGGTGCTCTGAGTTAGAAGGTGAAGTGGACATTGTAAACCTTCAATGAGCATAGCATCCAATTGGAGAGACCGATCATATGAAACAAATAGTAAATAACATAAAGACACATAAAACTAAGTGATCATTTATGAATACGCAGTATTCAAAAGAAAGGAAATGTAGGCTTAAGTGACTAGATGTGGCTTTAGACAAAAGGTGAACTTAAATTCAGACCTGATAGATGAGGAAGTTTTGTAAAAACAGAGAGGAAGAGGGAGGGATTTCAGGATAAGGGAAGCAAATGAGTAAAGAAATGTACAGTTGAGGGGGGAATAAATTGTCTCTCTCATATGCTGTCACAGTCCATAAAATGGTAACCTCTACTCTGCTGAGAGTATTGAAGAGAATGTGTTCATTCTTTTTTATTCTTCTTACACAATGTTCTCCGTGTGAACATAAATTACTTACCTGAGTGGTGAATTGTTAGACTATGACAACCCTGTGTCCATGCTTCTCTACAGGACTGCGCTGATGGGTTAGAAATCATTGGGTCTGTGTGACATTTTTTTTATTGGCCTATCTATGCTTGACAAAGTGTGAGGCAGGCCAAGTTTCCCTGTCTAGCTGAGCACCTTCTTTGCAGATCCAGTTCCCCTTGAGTGGATCCCAAGCTCTAGATTTGGGGTAAAGAAGTAGAAAGTCCATTCTGGCTTTAGATTTCAGCCATACTTGCCAAGGCCTCTTTAGTTAGAAATGAAGCTGGTATTTTGAACCCTATTCCATTCCTATATACTTTTACCAATTGTTCCAAAATTCAGAGGGACAGACTATAAATAATCATCACTTGTGGACCACAGCATAAGGGATTCATGAACATAGAATGTTTGAGGTGGGTGGAAATGAAAGAGACAAAGAACAGAGAAGACTAGTCAGTCAGAGAGCTCGTGGCAAAAAAAAAAAAAAAAAATAGATGATGAGCTCGAATGGGAAGGAAGGAAGGACAGACTGCAGAAGGCCTTAATTGCTAAAATATGGATGGGAATGGTCACAGCGTAGCTGCTACAAGAGAGGTATAGAATTAACTTCAACACAATGAGCTATTATAAAGATGCTTTCAAAGAATGGGAGAGGCTAACTCTGCTTGAAAAGTGTGTGAGGAGATGAAGCCTGAGGAGGGTGGAATAATCTTGGAAGGTTTTACAGAGGCGGAACATTCCAAAAGCCAAAGATAGTCCTGTGTGTCAGCAGTATCTCTCCCCACTGCCCACCACCATCTCCAGCCCAGCAGCTGCTTGGGAGACAGCAAAAGATGAGCATGAAAAAGCAGGAAGAAGAGAGTGTTAAAGAGGTTGTGTTAGGCGCTGGAGGCAGAAAGAAGCCTATGGAGTTTATTTCATCGTACAAATTTGTACATTGTGGTACAGCAAATTTAGGAGCCATGAGAATGTGTCAGGAACAGACACACCCACCATGTGAAACCTGAAATGACCTTAGTTGGAAAGAGTTCTTCGAAGAGGAAGAGAGGCTGCTTTGCTCTGGATTCTACATGCCGTAAGGATTTCTCCACTCAAGACTTTCCTCGGAGGTGCCTGCTTGTTATTCTTTTAGTGGGCACCTGCTACTACTGGTGCCAGGAGAAGCTTTAGAAAGAGTACAGTGTCTGCGGAGAGGCTGCAGTGAAGATATATTTTTGGCTACAAACAAAGAATGGAAGCAGAGATGGGGGAAAGGGAGAATTTGCTGCCTAGCGTCACAACTCAGTCACGATTGGTTTCTCTTTTCCTTTCTATTATTTTCCTAGCTGTCTCTATCTTATAGCTTAATTAGTGGGAAACATTGCTGAGAGTCCTTGAATATTAACAAAAGTCCCTTCCTCTGGAAGACAGGATCTGGAAGTGATTTTAAAAATCTTCAAACTTGGTGATTATCTTAAAATATCTTTAAGGGGAGAATGGAGGATAAAACAAGAAACCTGAACTCTGCTCATATATCACTTTTCCAGTGACCACCTTATTTAGCAGGGCACTCCCCAACTTCTTCATCTCACTTCCTACTCCAGTCCTTGGCCCTTTCCAATAGACTCTATGATTTATTATGTTATTTACTATTTCTCTCTCACCTGAATATAAATTGCTTGAGAGCAGGGATTTTTGTGCTTTATTCACAACTGTAATCTCTGTGCCTAGAACACTGTCTGGTACATGGAAAACATCAATTAATATTTGTTATATTTGTTTCCTTTTGTATGAGTGTAGAAAGTGCAGGAGACACAGTCAGCCCCCTCCCACCCCATACCCTCAGTGTCTACCCTTCAGAGAATACTAGCCTGACCTACAACTGCCAGCACTTGTATGTCTTTACCTGAGGGATTTCCTTGACCATCACAGCCTGTTCTTCTCTGCAGCACATGACAGGCCAGAAAGCAAAGAATTAACACTCTCCAGGAGGAGCCCTCAGCTACTGGCTGACTGATGGGAGTTGGTGAAATAAAACCTCAGCTTCCCTCCATCTTCTCATTTGGTAAAACTCTGAGGTGTATAACTCTGAGGTGCGTGTTCTACATGAACTTACTTAGTGCAATTAAGCTGTAGTTGCCTACAGGGCCACTTTCTTGAAACACATATCTTGTATTAGTTTTCTTCCCTGCCCTGTCTCATTTTCCCACTCTCCTATTAGTGTTTCCTGGGATCACCTCTCAAATAAACCATTTGAGCTCTGTCTTATTTCAAGGGCTAATCCTAAGGGAACCCAAACTAAGATATAAAGTGTTCAAAAATGTTTAAACTAATTAATGATTATGTTCTTATATATCTTTTATGCCTATTGGAGTAGGCAGGAAACTGATAGGTTGCAGCTGAATTTTGCCTGAAAATGGTGTGTGTGTGTGGCAATATTTGAATACATTCACATATGTGGCATGTACTTGACATTCACATATTTTCCCAGAGTTTCCACTGTTCTCTATTGTATTACCTCTACTGACTTCACAAATTCACCACCTGCCTGGATCTTATAGGCCAGAGGTCTACAAACTTTTTCTATAAAATATCAGATAGTAAATATTTTAGGTTCTGTGGGCCTTGTGATCTCTGTCACGCCTACTCAATTCTGTCATTGTAGTGTGAAAACACTCATATAATACCTAAATGAATGAACATGGTTGTGTTCCAATAAAACTTTTTTATGGACACTAAAATTTAAATTTCATATAATTTTCCTGTGTCACAAAATATTATTCTTTTAATTTTTTTCAACCATTTAAAAATGTAAGTTATTTCCAGAGCTGTACAAAAAGAAGCAAAAGGTTGGTACTAGCTGGTGAGCTATAGTTTGCCTACCCGAGCTATAGGCATTCACATTGAAATTATTGGCTCTGGGGAGTATGTTCTGAGAGGTAGCACACTGAATTAAGAAGCACAACTAAAAATGCTTTGATGTTATATCCATACAATGGAATATTATTCAGCAATAAGAAGACATGTATTTACACATGCTGCAACATGAATAAACCTCGGAAACATTATGCTAAGTGAAAAAAGTTAGTCACAAAAGACCACATATTGTGTAGTTCTGTTTCTATGAAATGACCAGAATAGGCAGATCCGTCCAGACTGAAAGTAGATTAGTGGTTGCCTAGGGCTGGGGGTGTGTGGAATGGAGAAACAAGAAAGTGATGATTGAGGAGAGTAGGGTTTCCTCTTGGGATAATGAAAATGTTCTGAAGATTGTGGTGATGGATAAACTCTGTAGACAGGTTAAGATCCACTGAATTGCACACTTTAAATGAGTGAAGTGTATGGCATGTAAATTATATCTCAATAACACTGTTTCTAAAGAAGGCTTTGATGTCTAGCAAATTTGGGGTTGAGTTCTTACTATTTACTATGCTTGCCATGTATGAGCCAAATGAGTTGTACAGGTAAATCTAAGGAGGAGGGGGCGGAAGAAGGATGAATCCCTTGTGTCTAGTTCCTCATTCAAGTGAGAGCATAGAAGTGAGGGTGAGAAGTATTTTAGTCTGGGGAGCAAGGAGAGTAAAGTACAGCAATGAATAATAATAACTTTTCCTTATGGAGCACTTGCTGTATACACCACCAGGTCCTGTACTAGGTATTTTGGCTCCATTATATTTTATTTTCCAATTCTTTATGGTAGTTATTATTATCTCTGTTTTGCAAAAGAAAAGGCCAAGACCCAGAAGGACTAAATGATTCACCCAAGATCACCCAGCCTAGTGAGTCCAGACATAGACTCCAAATCCAGGTCTGTCTTCATCCAGAGATTGTACAACTTCCAATAATAATAATATATTAATCATAGTAAACACTTGAATAAGGCTTGTTGTGTGCCAGGCATGATTCTAAACTCTTTGCATATATTAGCTCATTTAAATAACACTAAGAGAATGCTGGCTGAAAAAAATTAAAGTGTGTTATGGACTGATTGAAAAATGGAGATTTGAAAAAGGTATTTCTTAAAGTTCTCTAAGTTTCCTAAAATTGAAAAATCAGATATCCTCATTATCTGTCTGTGAATTAGCATTTTCCTTGGCAGAATATTATTAGAGTTATTTTCCTTAGCTGGCATGGCTAGAAAGAATTAAAATATTAGGCTGTTTGTAAATTGCTGAAATTAGCCAATAAACCATTTTACAATATTTTCGAACTTTATCTTGTAGCCAAAGAGCAGTACTAACATTTATAGCAAAGGCCATACTAATGTTTAGGTTTCAGATAGTAAATAAGCTTGGCTCAAACGTGTGTTATACATTAAAGATAACTTTGGTCAGCAATGCACATTCTGAAAAATATGCTTTGATTTCTTAAAAGTGTCCCTAAAAGTAAGATAGGGAGTCGAGATCCCCTTTTACCATATTTCTAGTACTGAGTCTTAGAATAAACTCAGTAAAGGAGATTTGAGTCCCTCTAATTCTTAAAAGCCTGTGGGAGAGGGACCAGGTAAAAGCTAGCTTTGCTCTAATGAGCGGGAACCTTGCAGTTCTATGCACTATAAAATGTCTGAGTCATTGTCATAAACTGAGAGTCATAGTAAGTTTTTTAGCCTTTCAGTTAGGCTCATGCTTTGAGTGTTAAAGCCCTAACCTCTGGCTCTCCATAACCTGGAAGAGATAGGGGTTTATCCATCAATATCACCCTGGTAGCCATATGCCACACCCATCCTCCAGAGGAAGAATGCCAGAGTCTAAGTGAATCTTCAAACTTGGAACCAGAGCTCTGGAATTTCATGCCACTTCTCTTTTCCTGTCTGGTCTACTCATTCAATATATAATCCCTCTCCTGCTTTTAAGTACTTGGTATCAAAGAGAACTGTTGGTATGGCTAAAGAGAATTGAAATGTTATGCTGTATATAAGTATATAAATTACTCAAGTCAGCCAAGAAACCATTTTACAATATTTTGCACTTTATCTTAAAGCCAAAGGGCAATCACTGAAGTTTTATGAATATGGGACTGACATGATATGTTTTAGAAATATGAATCTTTGTTCTGTGTGAGTAATAAATTGGAAGGTATATTAGAGAATAAATGTGGGAATAGTACTGCCTGGCTATTATTGCAATGTTCCTAGTTTGATGATATGTACTGCAGAGCCAGGCTGAGGCAGTGAATATGGAAAAGAAGGGCAAGATCTAAGAGATATTGTGAAGAAAGAGCTAGTAAAAGGACATGTTTGGGGAGAGCCTGGTAAGAGATAAATATCAAAGGTGGCTTTGACATTTAGAGCCTGGGAAACTGTCCTGCCATTTCCCACCCTAAAATAACCCTAAGAAACAACTTGTTAATAGATAATTTAGCATTTTGATGTCTCCTAAGGGGTAGAGAAATTGACAAGTAAACTTAACTCTTCTGAATTATGACATTAAACATGCTCTTGGGGGCATGTACAATGTTCTGGTTTGCAGCCACGAGAGACCTATGCTATAGTTCTTCTATTCACGGCATTATTACAAATGCTTTGAGTGGTTAGAACATTCAGAAAATGATAGACTAACCTCAAGAGATAAGCTCCTTGGTGTTCAAATGATAATCCATTTGGCTGTACTTTCTGAAAGTGGTGATGAAGAGAATGCTCATTGTGAGATTTCTAGAAACACATGTTACTTCTCAATCTTTGCAAAGGAAAATTAGTTACCTTTGCCGGTTTTCTAACTCTCTGGGTATTTGGGAGAAAAGAGAAGAAGCTGTTACTTTTGTTTGTCTCTGCTTAAAACTAGATGGTTTCGAGTTTTCTTAACTGCATTTGACTACTCGTGGTGTCCTAAATCCTTTGTAGACACTGTGGTGCAGTATGTATTTATTTTTCCTCTTTTTTAGGATTTATCACAGGCCCTAAGCTCCTTTATTTTTTTTCTATCCTTCTAAGAATCAAATATTTTTCTCCTTCTCTGTCTTAGTTGTTAACTATAATAGAATAGAGTATTAAATTCAACTTAATGTCCCTGGATAGTTGATGTCCTTGCATTTTCTTACTTTTAAACAGGTGATTTCCTCCCATTTTCAATGTAATTTTTGTGACATTAGAAATTTTACGATGTTGAATTGGGTACTGTGTCATGTAAATTGCAAATCTTGTAGAAATGAGAAAATGAGAGCTCACTTAGGAGTGTACAATTAGATGAATGGGAAAGCATTTAGAAGACTAGAATGAGAAAAATATGTACATGAAAATACTACTATCAAAAGTCGGGGGCAGAGAGAATAACTCTTTCAATTGGGGAAGAAAAAACAAAATAAAATAAGTGTTTTATGCTACCCAAAATGTTAGCTTTCCAAATTACCTGGTATGAATGATTCTCCTTAGGTGTGAACACCTATCTGTTTCTATGATGTAAGTTGAGGAACAGCAAAATGCATAAGAGGGCTACTGTCCCCTCATGTTCTGACTCTGACATCATTCCAGGTATCTATACCCTGTTGGTACCTGGCAATACTGCAATGGAATTGGCTCTCATGGTGACACTGATTCCTTGAAGCCAGGATACTGATGTTCAGGTTATGTTTGTGGGTCTGAAGTTGAAAAGTCACTAGAATTGAGGGGTCAAAAATTGCACAGAATAGGTTGTTAGATGGGTCATCCACAAGGACTCTGGGGTCACCCAAGAGGATAACATGATTTGGGAAAGAAAGGCTGAGCCAGATGTCAAAGTTTTTAATACATGGAAAGTTATACTCAAAGAATCAGTTGTTAACAGAGATGATGAGGAAGAGATGGTTTTATGAGAAGGGGAAGATTATGACATTTATTGTAAATGAGGGAACAGAGAGTCAGGCTTCTCCAGATTTATTTATAGGGATTGGATCATGTGATCATGCGGGTTGATAAGTCCAAAATCTGTAGGGCAGACCAAGAGGCTGGAAACTCAGCCAGGAGCTGATGCAGTAGTCTTGAGGCAGAAATTCTTTTCTCCAGGAAACCTTATTTTTTACTCTTAACACCTTCAACTGGTTAGATGAGTTCCATTCACATTATCTAGAGTAATCTTCTTTATTTAAAGGCAGCTAATTATAGATGTTAACCACATTTACAAAATACCTTCACAGCAACAGCTAAGATTATTGTTTGATTAAATAATGAGGTTCAATAGCCTAGTCAATCTGACACATAAAACCAACAATCACAATGACGAGGGAGAAACAAGAGCTTATAAATAAGATTGAGGGTTAGAGAAAACAGACTGAGAATGTTTTCATAGTTTCCGTGGCCTTACTCAAAGTAAAAGTACCCTCTTTTTCTGTGTTATATATTTCCCCTCTATTAAAAATCGAGTTAGCAATCTTCCCATCAATTTCTCCTTTGTTTCATTATTTTATAACCTCTGTTCACTAATACACAGAAAACAATACAGAAAGATATTAAATCTGTCCTGATGGTAATCAAATTTGAAATGCACTGAAATTGTAAGAAGTATCTTTATAAAGTTAATCCTTTCTAAAGGTATTTGGTGGTCTGTTTCTGGAAATACAGCTGACTAAAAATCCTGAAAAATATTGTATCACAAAAACCTAGACATCCCGGATAAATATATCAAACATTTTACATTCACATGAAAGCTAACAAGAGATGAATACAAATGTCAAAAAGCCAGACAATAAAAGCTGAAAAACAAAGATAAACCATTACTTACATTTGTTGGGTATATATGCTAAATTTGCAAGGATATCAAGAAAAGAATAGAAAAAAGAATTTTTTTTCATTGAATATAGAAGGAAAGAGATCTAAAACTCAATAATTAAAAAGATATATACAGAGGAGTGATGTCAGCAAGATGGCAGAATAGGAAGTCTGAGACATTGTTCTCCCATAGAAACACCAATTTAATAATGATATATGGGCCAAAATACTTTTATGAGATTTGAGAATCCAGTTAAGAAGCTATAGTACCCTAGGCAAGCACAAAACCAAGAACAGCTACATTGAAATAGATAAGAAGAGCCCTTTTATTTTACCAATGTCAGCACTTCCCTAAGTCAGTACAGCTCACTCCTGAGACAGAATGTTCCAGCTCATGGAAGAGAAGAGAGGACTGTGTCCAGTGTTCTAGCTTTTGAAGGGCTGCTCAAGGAGCTGGTTTCTGTCTTGCCTCATTTGGAGTGCTAATAGAACTGGTATCATTTAGATTCTTGGGGACTGCTGAGAACAATAAAAGCAGGGAACAGTTTGCTGCAAAGGGCATGGCTTGACACAATTTGGAGAAGGTGCACAACTTGAGACTTCTCCTCAGGAGACAGAGAGAGGAGCAATGGAGCATTGTTCAGCATTCTGGCTTTTTAGAGGGCTATTTGAGGGATTGATATCTGTATTGACTGACTCAGGATGTGGCCAATTGCCTGGTGGCTGATGTGAACAGGAGAGAGTAAAGTGACTTCCTGCTGTAGAAATAGAGAACTTTCAGTGCCACAGATAGACACAAATCTTGAGCCAAAATGATTGGCAAGGTTCTTACCTTGTACAAAGCCAGTCTGTAAACACTGGGAGAAATGGCCATTTTTTCAAATGTGCAGATCCTGACAAAAAGTTATAAAATACAAACAGACAAACAACAACAACAAAAGAAACAGGGAAATGTGGTCCAAAAGAGGAACAGAACAAATCTCCAGAAACCAACCCTAAAGAGTTGAAGATACATAAACTATCTGTCAAAAATTCAAAATAACCATTATAAAGATACTCTATGAGCTCAAGGAAATGATGCATGAAGAAAATGAGAATATCAACAAAGAGAAATAGAAAATATAAAAAGAAACAAACAGAAATTTTGAAGCTGAAGAATACAATAATCAAACTGAAAAATTCACTAGAGGGATTCAACAGCAGCATTAATAAAACAGAAGAAAGAATCAGTGAACTTGAAGACACTCCATATGAAATTGCTCAGTCAAAGGAAAAAAAAAAGAATGAAAAAGAGTAAAGAAAGCTGTAGGGACTTGCAGCATATTACCAAGCCAATCAATTTATGCAGTATGGAAGTTACAGAAGGAGAAGAAAGACAGAAAGTGCCATAAAGATTATTTAAAGAAATGATGTCTGAAAACTTCACAAATCTGGAGAAGGAAATGAACATCCATATTCAAGAAGCTGAAAAACTCCAACTAAGATAAATCTAAAGAAATCCCTGTCAAGACACATTATAGTCAAATTGTGAAAAGTCAAAGAGAAAATGTTGAAAACAGCAAGTAAAAAAGTGACCCACCATGTACAAAGGAATAATCATAAGACTATCAGCAGATTTTTTATGAGAAACCTTGCAGGCCAAGTAAGAGTGGGATGATATAGTCTATGTGCAGAAAGAAAGAAAAAAACCCATCAACCATGAATACTATATCCAGCCAAACATTCTTCAAAAATGAAGGATAAATAAAGACATTCCAAGATAAATAAAAGCTGAGGGAGTTCATTATCACTAGACCTGCCCAAAAGAAATGCTAAAGAAAGTCCTTCAAGCTGGAATGAAAGGACACTAAACAGCAACATAAAAGTATATAAAAGTATAAAGCATTAAGTACAAAGTATTACAGAATACTGTAATACTGTAACAGTGGCATGCAAATCACTTTTAATTCTGCTATAGAATTAAATGACAAAACTATAAAGAATAACTATACCTTTAAAATATGTTAATGAATATGTTATAAAAAGTAAAATTTGTGACATAGATAGCATACAGAGTGGGAGGAGAGATGTAAAAGGGTAGAGTATTTTCATGTGATTGAAGCTGTTATTAACTTAAAATAGATTGTTATAACTATACAGTGTTTTATGTAAACCCCATGGTAAGTACAAAGAAAATACTTATAGAATATATACAAAAGAAAATGAGAAAGAAATAAAGCATGCCATTACAAAATTACAAAAATTTCAAAGAAACACAAAGGAAAACAGCAAGAGAGGAAAAGAATAACAAAAAAGCTAAAAGGATAGACAGAACACTTAACAAAATATCAGTAGTAAGTCGTTTCCTATAAATAATTACTTTAAATAAAATGAATTAAAACTCCCAATCAAAATAGAGTGGCTAAATGGATTAAAAATGATCAAACTCTATGTTGTCTATAAGAGATTTATTTTAGATTTAAGGATACACAGACCCAAAGTGAAAAGATGCAGATGACATTACTGTATATTTAGAAAACCCCTTTGTCTCAGCCCAAAACCTCCTTAAGCTGATAAGCAACTTCAGCAAAGTCTCAGGATACAAAATCAACTGGCAAAAATCACAAGCATTCCTATACACCAATAATAGACAAACAGAGAGCCAAATCATGAGTGAACTCCCATTCACAATTGCTACAAAGACAATAAAATACCTAGGAATAAAACTTACAAGGGATGTGAAGGACCTCTTCAAGGAGAACTACAAACCACTGCTCAAAGAAATAAGAGGAGACACAAACAAATGGAAAAATATGCTATGCTCATGGATAGGAAGAATCAATATTGTGAAAATGGCCATATTGCCCAAAGTAATTTATAGATTCAACACTATCCCCATCAAGCTACAATTGATTTTTGTCACAGAATTAGAAAAAACTACTTTAAATTTCATACGGAACCAAAAAAGAGACCATATAACCAAGACAATCCTAAGCAAAAAGAACAAAGCTGGAGGCATCATGCTACCTGACTTCAAACTATACTACAAGGCTACAGCAAACAAAACAGCATGGTACTGGTACCAAAACACATATATAGACCAATGAAACAGAACAGAGGCTTCAGAAATAATGCCACACATCTACAACCATCTGATTTTTGACAAACCTGAAAAAAATAAGCAATGGGGAAAGGATTACCTATTTAGTAAATGGTGTTGAGAAAACTGGCTAGCCATGTGAAGAAAACTGAAACTGGACCCCTTCCTTACACCTTATACAAAAACTAACTCAAGATAGATTAAAGACTTAAGCGTAAGATCTAAAACCATAAAAACTAGAAGAAATCCTAGGCAATACCATTCAGGACATAGGCATGGGCAAAGACTTCATGACTAAAACACCAAAAGCAATGGTAACAAAAGGCAACATTGATAAATGGTATCTAATTCAACTAAAGAGCTTCTGCACAGCAAAAGATACCATTATCAGAGTGAACAGGCAACCTACAGAATGGGAGAAAAATTTTGCTCTCTCTCCATCTGACAAAGGGCTAATATCCAGAATCTACAAGGAACTTAAACAAATTTACCAGAAAAAAACAAACAACCCCATCAAAAAGTGGGCAAAGTATATGAACAGACACTTCTCAAAAGAAGAAATTTATGTGGCCAACAAACATATGAAAAAAAGCTCATCATCACTGGTTATTAGAGAAATGCAAATCAAAACCACAATGAAATACCATTTCACGCCAGGTAGAATGGCAATCATTAAAAAGTCAGGAAACAACACATGCTGGAGAGGATGTGGAGAAATAGGAGTGTTTTTACACTGTTGGTGGGAGTGTAAATTGGTTCAACCATTGTGGAAGACAGTGTGGTGATTCCTCAAGGATCTAGAACCAGAAATACCATTTGACCCAGCAATCCCATTACTGGGTATATGCCCAAAGGATTATAAATCATTCTACTATAAAGACACACACACGTATGTTTATTGCAGCACTATTCACAATAGCAAAGACTTGGAACCAACCCAAATGCCCATCGATGATAGACTGGATAAAGAAAATGTGGCACATGTACACAATGGAATACTATGCAGCCATAAAAAAGGATGAGTTCATGTCATTTGCAGGGACATGAATGAAGATGGAAATGAATTCTCAGCAAACTAACACAGGAATAGAAAACCAAACACTGCATGTTCTCACTCACAAGTAGGAGTTGATCAATGAGAACACATGGACACAGGGAGGGCAACATCACACACTGGGGCCTGTCGGGGTGGGGGGCTAGCGGAGGGATAGCATTAGGAGAAATACCTAATGTAGACGATGGGTTGATGGGTGCAGCAAACCACCATGGCACGTGTATACCTATGTAACAAACCTGCACGTTCTGCACATGTATCCCAGAACTTAAAGTATATAAAAAAAGAAAAACATTGAACAATGGAACAGAATACAGAAATAAATCCACGCATACACAGTCAACTACTTTAACAAGGGAGCCATACTATGTGATAGGGAAAGGACAGTAGGTTCAATAAGTGGTGTTGGGAAAACTGACTATCCTCATGCATAAGAATAAAATTTTACTCTATCTTACACTGTACAGAAAAATCAATTCCAAATGTATTAAAGACAAACACAAGAATGGAAACTGTAAAACTGCTAGAGGAAACATAGGGAAAAATCTTCATAACATTGGTCTTAGCAATGATTTAGTAGATATAACACTAAAAGCACAGGCAACAAAAGCAAAAATAGACAAGTGGGACTATATCAAACTGAAGAGTGTCTGCACAACAAATGAAACAATCAATAAATTGAAAATGCAACCTATCGAATGGGAGAGAATATTTATAAACCATGTATCTGATAAGGGGTTAACAACCAAAATACATAAGCCCTATAACTCAGTAGCAATAAAACAATAACCCAATTAAACAATAGGCAAATGGCTTGATTAGACACTTCTCCAAAAAAGACATATGATGAGCCAACAAGTATATGGAAAGACTTTCAGCATCACTAATCATCCAGGAGATGCAAATAAAAACTGCAATGAGATACCTCCTCACATCTGTTAGGATGGTCATTATTCATTATTTAAACACACACACACGAGCATAGACACACACATATGAGAGAGAGAGGGCGGGGGCAGAGAGAGAAAGAGAGAGAAATCTGAAAATCCCAAGTGTCAGCAAAGGTATGGAGAAATTGGAACCCTTGTGCACCATTGGCTGGAATGCAAAATGGTATACTCACTATAAAAAACAGAATGAAGTTTCCTAAAAAATTTAAAATAGTATTACTATATGATTCAGCAATCCCACTTCTGGATATTTAACCAAAAGAATTGAAAACAGGATCTGAAAGAAATATTTGCACTCCCATGTTCACTGTAGCATTATTCACAATAGTCAAGAGGTAGAAACAACCTAAATGTTCATTAATGGGTGAATGAATAAAGAAAACGTGGCATACACATACAGTGGAATATTGTTCAGCTTTACAAAAGAGGAAAATCCTGTGATATGCTACAATATAGATGAGCCCTGAGGGCATTATGACATGTGAAATAAGCCAGTCACAGAAGAACAAATAATACATGATTCCACTTACGTGGGATATTTAAAGTAATACATTCACAGAAGCAGAAACTAGAATAGTTGTTTCCAGGGGTTAGGGTGGAAGGGGAAATAGTCAATTTCTTTTTAGTGGATATAGAGTTTAGTGGAAACAGAGTTCATTTTTTAATTACCAAGTTCAATTTATTTAGGGATACTGTTTAACATTTGAAAATCATTTAATAAATTCAAATTGAAGGAATGAAATTACATGATCATTTCAATGGAAGGAAAAACATTTTGATAAAATTCAAAGTCCATTATAATAATAGCTTTTAGCAAACTAAAAATATAACTTTGTAATTCTGACAGAGGATAGCTATACTAAATCTATGGTGAATGTCTGATTTAATATTTAAAAATAAGGATAATTTCTATTTTTTTTGGCTTTAAAAAAAATATTTCCATAGGTTTTGGGAGGAACATGTGGTATTTGGTTACATGAGTATATATGAGTAGCTTCTTTAGTGGTAATTTGTAAGATTTTGCTGCACCTATCACCCAAGCAGTACACATTGAACCCAATTTGTGGTCTTTTATCCCTCACACCCCATCCGTACCCCCGAGTTTCCAAAGTCCATTGTATCATTCTCATGTCTTTGCATCCTTGTAGCTTAGCTCCCACTTATGAGTGAGAACATGTGATGTTTGGTTTTCCATTCCTCAGTTACTTCACTTAGAATAATAGTCTCCATCCAGGTTGTTGCAAATGCCATTAATTCATTCCTTTTTATGGCTGAGTAGTTTCCCATCATATATATACCACAATTTCTTTATCCATGCATTGATTGATTGGCATTTGGGCTGGTTCCATATTTCTGCAATTGCAAATTTTGCTGCTGTAAACATGCGTGTGCAAGTATCTTTTTCGTAAATGATTTCTTTTCCTCTGGGTAGATACCCAGTAGTGGGGTTGCTGGATCAAATGGTAGTTCTACTTCTAGTTCTTTAAGAGATCTCCACACTGTTTTCTGTAGTGGTTGTACTAGTTTACATTCCCACCACCATTTCATCCATGCCAACATCTATTCTTTTTTTATTTTTTCATTATGGCCATTCTTGTGGGAGTAAGTTGGTATCACATCGTGTTTTTTGCGTTTCCCTGATCATTAGTGATGTTGAGCATTTTTTCATATGTTTGTTGGCCATTTGTATATCTTCTTCTGAGAATTGTCTATTCATGTCTTTAGCCCACTTTTTGATGGGATTGTTTGTTTTATTCTTGCTAATTTGTTTGAGTTTCTTGTAGATTCTGGATATTAGTCCTTTGTCGGATGTATAGATTGTGAAGATTTCCTCCCACTCTGTGGGTTGTCTTTGTACTCTGCTGTTTCTGAGTTTGGTCATTTACAATGAAAACGTTCTGTAAATTTGTTATAGTTTAGTCATTTAAGATAAAAATGTTCTGTAAATTTGTTGTACTTATAGTTGACAATACAATACTGTACACTTAAACTTTGAGTGTGAATTTCTATTTTTTTACTTGCTTTTTACCAAAATAAAAATAATAAAGTGAAATAAGTATTATAAATAAATTACTGCTTGCCAAAGAAGGCACAATCTAGAAAAAAGCAGAAACACAGAGAAACAAAAAACAAATGGTAGAAATAAATCCAGATATATCAGAAATCATAATAAATGTGAATGAAGTGAGTTTTCTGGTTAATATATATGGAGATTTCCAGATTCAATAAAAACTAAGAGCCAGCTATATACCCTGTAGGAAATAAATATCTAAAATATAATAATACAGAAAAGTTGAAATAAAGGAATGGAAAAGTGTATACTGGCCTATAGTATCAAAAGAAAGCTTGCATAGCTACATGATTTCCCATTTAAGTAATATTTAAGGTAAAAATTATTACTAGGATTAAAGAGTGCTTCTAAAAGTTTACAATTACCCAAAGGAAATAAAAGCATCAAAATATATAGTGCAAAACTTGACAATCTTTTAAACTGAAATTTGCAACATCATGATGGAAGAGTTTTACTCATTTATCAGTAATTAAGCATAAGCAGAAATAAATAATTAAACTCATAGATGATTTGAAAAATAGAATTAAACAATCATGATCTAAGAAATTTATGTTAAATTTTACAATGAAGAGACTAGTGCAAAATATGGTAAAATAAAATATTTCATTTATGAAAATGAACCATATTCTGTGATATAAAGCAAGTCTCAACACATTTCAAATAATCTTAGCTCATAGAGCCGTCATTCTCTGATCATGACTCAATAAAGTTAAAAATAAGTAAGATAACTAATACCTCCAAACTTCTGGAAATTAAAAGACACACATATATCCATAAACATACACTATTCTAAACAACTCACAGACAAAGGAGAAATCATAAATGGGTATTAGAAAATGGAACTAAAAAATGAAAGATTTTATATTAAAATATAGAAATGATGAAATGATGGATGCAGCTAAAGCAGTGTGTAAAATAAAATGTATAATGTTAAATCAGTACCTTTGAAAAAGAAAGATAGGATAAAAATGAGCCAGATGAGGGTCCAACATAAGATATTTAAAAAAAGATAACAGAATATATCCACAAAAAATATAGAGAAGAAAATCAGAGAAATGTGAGTCAATGACATTAGCCAGACAGCCAACTAGAAGCTCTTAGCACTCTCCGCTCCACCCCCACACACAAAAAAACAATAAAACAACAACATTTTGACCAAAATAACAGGGCGAGAGCTCTGGGGAACAGCAATGATGCATCAGAAATCCTGTAAAGTACAGAAACCCAAGATGGCTACATAGAGAAGGGGAGGAAATACTTTGCCTCTGTCACCCCATTCCTTCGATTAGAATTACCTCAGAACCAAGTGGGATTCCTTCCTGCAGTGCAAAGGTAAGCAAGAGGACCCCAGCAGTTCCCATCACCACTGCAGACACCTGCCCTCTTCACTAGCAGAAACTCCCGCAGTCCTCACAGGCTCTGAGCCTAGCTGAGGGAGGTTCCTAGAGCTACCCTCAGAGAAGGAGCTGATGCTGTGTCCTACCACCTCCCCTCTCCCTGTGGCCTGTGCTGCTACTGTGCTGCACCATCTTGGAACTGGAGCCACTACTAGAGTATGTCCTGCTCTGGGGGTGAGTAGCCATTGCACCCCTCCATCTCTGAGGTTTTGCTGCCACTCCAGCACACTTGCCCAGTAGCATACCATCCTTGACTCAAGGTGCTGCTATGTATTACCCCCTAGGGCCAAGCTACCATGAAGCTGCTTCATTCCACCCCCATCCCAGCCACTGATACACCCTCCATTTAGGGCTGAGCTAAATTGGAGCTCAGCTTCCCAGAGACCGCTGGTTTCCTGCACTCTGGAGCAGTTGCACTTGTGGCACCACAGCCAAGGCAGCATCCTGTCTCTCAGGAGCTCTGAGCCCCCAGCACACCAGAGAGGTTGCACCCCCAGTGCAACAGCTAACATAGAAACCTCACCTGGGATCTGGAGGCACCACCAGCCCGTGTAGCCACACTTTCTGGGAACAAGCAGATTCAGTGCCTTATGTCCCAGGAAATCAAATCTTGGGTAAGATGTCCTAGGCCACCCTCCAGACCAAACAGCCACCGTGCTCGCCTCCCTGGAAGTGACTAACCCCTCACAGCCTGAGCTGCTAAGGTGCCCTGCCTCTGAGCAGTGGGGTCATTGCTTTGCTTCTTCTCCCGGGCCCAAACCACAATAGCATCTTGACATTCTTGGGTCTGTGCTGCTGCTGCACCCAGCCTCACAGAACCTGGAATACTGCTGTGTCTCACCCTTTTAGGGTCCAGAGTTACCACTTTGACTTTCTTTTTAAGTTTTTCTTTAATTTTACTCATTTATTTATTTTAATTTTTATTTTAGATTCAAAGGGTACATATGCAGGTTTTTTACAAGGGTATCTTGCATGACACTGAGGTTTGGGCTTCTACTGCACCTGTCACCTGTAGTGAATATAGTACTCAATGGGAAGTTTTTCAGCTCTTGCCTACCTCCCTCTTTTCCTGCTTCTAAAGTCCCCAGTGTATATTATTCCCATCTTTATGTCCATATGCACCCAATGTTTATCTCCCACTTATAAGTGAGAATATGTGATACTTCATTTTTTGTTTCTGTGTTAGCTTGCTTAGGATAATAGCCTCTAGCTGCATCCATGTTGTGGCAAAGGGCATGATTTCATTATTTTTAATGGCTGCATAGTATTTTATGGTGTATAAATACCACATTCTCTTTATCCACTTCACCTCTGATGGGCACTTAGGTTGATTCTATCTTTTCTTTTCTTTTTTTTTTCTTTTTTCTTTTTTTTTTTTGTTTGAGTTGGAGTTTCACTCTGTCGCCCAGGCTGGAGCGCAGTGGTGCGATTGCGGCTCACTGCAACCTCTGCCTCCAGGGTTCAAGCGATTCTCCTGCCTCAGCCTCCCGAGTAGCTGGGACTACAGACATGTGCCACCACACTCAGGTAATTTTTTTGTATTTTTAGTAGAGACAGGGTTTTGTCATTTTGGCCAGGCTGGTCTCGAACGCCTGACCTCAGGTGATCTGCCCGCCTCAGCCTCCAAAAGTGCTAGGATTACAGGCATGAGCCACCACGCCCAGTCAGATTCTATGTTTTTGCTACTGTGAATAGTGCGGTGATAAACATACATGGGGTACGTGTGTCTTTTTGGTAGAAGAATATATTTTCCTTTGGGTATATGCCCAGTAAAAGAATTGCTGGATTTAATGGGAGTTCTATTTTTAATTCTTTGAGAAATCTCCAAAACTGCTTTCCACAGTGGCTGAACTAATTTACATTCCCATCAACAGTGTATAAGCATTCTCTTTTCTCCACAATGGTGCCAACGTCTGTTATTTTTTCACATTTTACTAATAGCCATTCTGACTGGTGTGAGATGGTATCTCATTGTGGTTTTGATTTGCATTTCTCTGATGATTAGTGATGTTGAGCATTTTTTCATGTTTTTTGGCCACTTGTATGTCTTTTTCTGAGAAGTGTCTGTTCCCGTCCTTTGCCCACTTTTAATGGAGTTATTTGTGTTTTTTTCCTCATTGAATTGTTTACTTTCCTTCTAGATTCTGGATAATTTTATTTGGATGCACAGTTTGCAAATATTTTCTCCCATTCTGTAGCTTGTCTGTTTACTCTGTTGACAATTTCTTTTGCTGTGTAGAAGCAGAGCTACTACTTTATGATATGTCACCCTACAGGGTCTGAGCTGCCACCGTGCCCTGTTCATTCTGGGTCCTGAATTGCAATTGTACCCTGTTCTTCAGGGCCCAAGCTTCTGGGGCACCCTTTCTTCCCTAGAGCTGTGACATTGCTGTACCCGGCAGGGTCAGAACTGCAGCTACATTCCGGTCCCCTAGGCCTGAACTGTTGGGGTGTGTCTCAGAGGAACAGCTTAGTTACATCCACCCATGCCTTGGAAAGTGAACCTGTGCCTCAAGTCCCAAGTGATACAGTAGTTTCACAAGCCCAGGAACCCAGCTCCATAGCTGCTCTGAGCACCTGTGCTCTGGATCTCCTTGCCACTTGTGGCTGCCTTTGGAATATGGCAGACCTGAGACCAAGAGAGATTATCTCAGCTAAGACTTCCCACTGTGGGGAAAATAAGAACAGAAGAATCCCTAAAACCCTTGCCCTAATAACCTACACAGCCACCATCACTGCTACAAATCTATGCAGCTTAGAACACTGAGTCACCTGCAGTCATTGATGACATTGATCATAGCCAAAGGAACTGCATAAAGACAACACTACTGCATTTACGCATTATCAGAACCACTGCACCTTTCCTAATCAGCACTCTCAGGCTTGTCTGCAGGTGAAAGTCTTTCCCTATGAAAGCCACTCTATAGAGTCTGGAAGAAGTGACTGGGTCACCAGATGTGCAGATATCAACACAGTGATACAGGAAACATTTAAAAAGCAAGGGAACATGCCACTACCAAAGGAACACAATAGTTCTCCAGTAAGTGACCTCCTCCTCCATGGAAATTTATGGATTGCCTGAAAATGAATTCAAAATAATGATCTTAAGGAAACTGAGTGAGATATAAGAGAACATAAATGGACAATTCAGTGAAATTAGGAAAACAATTTAGGATCTGAATAAGAAATTCAACAAAGACATAGATATGATTAAAAAAAGTAAACAAATCTTGGAACCGAAGAATTCATTCAATGAAATAAAAATTCAACAGAGAGCTTTAACAGCGGACTGGAGCAAGCAGAAGAAAAAAATCTTGAAAATAGGTCTTTTAAAATTACTTAGAGTGAAAAAAAGAACAAAAGAGAATGAAGACAGCTTATAGGACATATAGGACGCCATTAAATGAACATATTTTCACATTATGGGAGTTACAGAGGAGAGGAGACAGAGAAAGAGACAGAAAAATTATTTAATGAAATAATTGCTGAAAACCTCTCAAGTCTTGGGACAGATTTAGACATCCAGATCCATGAAATATAAAAGCCCCCAAACAGATACAACCCAAAGAGATATTCTCCAAGGCATAATATAGCAAACTCTAAAAAGCCAAAGACAGAATTTTTAAAGCAGCAGGAAAAAAGTGTCAAGTCAGATATAAGTGAATACCCATTAGGCTGTAAGTGGATTTCTCAGCAGAAACATTGAAAGCCATTAGAGAATGGGATGATATATTCAAAGTGATGAAAGAAAAAAAAAACCCTACTAACAAATAATATTGTACCCAGCTAAGCTGTCTTTCAGAAATGAGGTAGAAATATTTTTTCAGACAAGCAAAAGCTGTAGGAATTCATCATCACTAGACCTTCTCTAGAAGAAATACTAAAGGCATTTCTTCAAGTGGAAATGACAGGGCAATAATTACTGTCATGAATAGATATGAAAGTATAAAACTCATTGGTAGAAGTAAATACATAGTCAAATCCAGAATATTCCAATACTGTAATGGTGGTGTATAAATATCTCTAGTATGAAGGTTAAAAGTGGAAAGGGTAAAAAATAACCAAAGCTACAATAAGTTGTTAAGAAATACACAATATAAAAAGGTATAAATCATGACATCAGAAACATAAATTGTGCCAGCCTGGGCAATAAGTCTCTACAATTTTTTTTAATTACCCAGGCATCATGGTACATGCCTGTAGTCTCAGCTAATCAGGAGGCTGAGGTGAGAAGATTGCTTAAACCCAGGAGTTTGAGGCTTTGGTGAGCTATGATCCTATAATCGTGCCACTGTACCCCAGCCTGGGCAACAGAGAAAGACCACATCTCTAAAAAAAAAAAATCTGTGAGTGGGGTGTAAAAGTCTAGCATTTTTATATGCAATAGAATTTAGGTTGTTATCAGCTTAAAATAGTTGATTATAACTCTAAGATGTTTTATGTAAGCCTTATGTTAACCACAAAACGAAACACTACAGCAGACATACAAGTGGTAACGAGAAAGGAAATGAAGATTTGCACTACAAAAACTTATCAAACTACAAAACTACAAAGGTAGACAACAAGAAAGGAAGAAAAGATCTGCAAAACAACCAGAAAACAATGAACAAATTGGCAATAGTAACTCTTACCTATCAATAATAACCTTGAATGTAAGTGGATTAAACTGTCCAATCAAAAGATATGCAGTGGCTGAAGGTACAACAAACCAAATAGACTATATGCTGCCTACAAGATATCCACTTAAAATTTAAGGGTGCACATTGGCTGAAAATGCAGGGATGGAAGAAGATATTCCATGCAAATGGTTACCAAAACTATCACGAGAGACAGAGTCATTATTTAATGATAAAGAGGTCAATTCATCAAAAGGACATAACAATTATAAATATATAGGCACCCAACATTGGAGCATCTAGATACATAAATCAAATATTAATGTACATGGAGGAAGAATAGCAATATAATTCAATACTTCAATTTGAATAATGGGTAGATCAACCAGAAAAAAAAATAATGAGAAAATATTGGACTGAAATGTACTTTGACCAAATGGACCTTAACAGACATATACATAATTGTCCATTCAACAATTACCTCAAGGAACTAGAAAAAGAAGAACAAATTATCCCAAAATTAGCAGAAGGAAGTAAGTAATAAGAATCCAAATAGAAAGAAATAAAATAGAGAACAGAAAAACCATAGAAAAAAATCATAAAACTAAGAGTTAGTTTTTTTAAAAAAATAAACAAAATCAACGCACCCTTAGCTAGCCTAAGAAAAAAAGAGAGAAGACTGAAATAAATACAATAATAAAGTGAAGAAATTACAAAAAAATGCCTCAGATATAAAAAGGATTGTGACAGACTATTATGAAAAATTATATACCAACAGATTGGATAACCTATAGGAAATGGACAAATTCTTAGAAAAATAAAACCTATCAATTGCGTCAGGAAGAAATAGACAGTATGAACAGACCAATAACAAATAAACACATGAAAGAAGTAATAAATAAAACCTTCCAAAATGAAAATCTCAGGACTACATAGCTTCACAGCTGAATTCTATCAAACATTCAAATAATTACTACTAATATTTCTTAAACGTTTCCAAAATAGAGTTGGAAGAAATACTTTCAAAAACATTTTATGAAGTCACCATCACCTTGATAACTAAGTCAGACAATGATATCATAAGAAAATAAAACTACAGGTCAGTCTCTCTGATAAGCATTGATGCAAAAATCCTCAAAAAAATATTAGCATACTGAATTCAACAACACATCAAAAAGAGTACACATTATCATCCAGTAGAAACAGAATAGACAGCCCAGAAATAAAACTAAATGTATACAGTCACCTAATTTTCAATAAGGTAAACCAGAAGACACAACGGGGAAAGGATGGTCTCTTCAATGAACAGTGCTACAAAAACCAGATTTCCACATGCAAAAGACTGAATCAGACTCTTATCTTACACCATACACAATAATCAACTCTAAATGGCTAAAAGACCTAAATGTAACATAAAACTGTAAAACTACTAGAAGAGAACATACAGGAAAAACTCCTTGACATTGGGCCTGACAATGATTTTTTGGATATCACCCCAAAAGTTAAGTCCGCATAAGCAAAAATAAATAAATGAGACTACATAAAACTAAAAAGCTTCTGCAGAGCAAATGAAACAATCAACAAAATGAAGCAGAAGCCTATATACCAGAAAAAATGCAAATTATATATCTGATAAGGGTTTGATGTCCAAAATTTATGAATATCTCATACAATTCAATTGTAGGAAAACAAACCAATTAAAAGATGGAAAAAAAGAATTAAATTGACATTTCTCCAAAGACATAAAAAACACCAACAGGTATATGAGAAGGTGCCCAATACCATTAATAACTAGGGAAATGCAAATCAAATACACTATGAGATTTTACCTCACACCCATTAGTATGGCTATTATCAAAAAGCCAAAAGATAAATGTTGGTGAGGGTGTGGAGAAAAGGGAACTCTTATGCACTATTGGTGGGAATGTAGATTGGTACAGCCATTGTGGAAAACAGTATGGAGGTTTCTAAAGAAATTAAAAACAGAACTACCGTATGACTCAGCAGTCCCTCTTCTGGGCATATGCCCAAAGGAAGTGAAATCATCACCTTATAAAGATATCTGCACACCCATGTTTATTGCATCATTACTCACAATAGAAAAGATAAACAACCTAAGTGTCCATCATCAGATGAGTGGATAAAGAAGATGTAGTGTATATACACAATAGAATATTATTCAGCCCTAAAAAAGAATGAGATCTTGCCATTTACTACACGGATGAGCCTGGAGGACATTATGCTAAATGAAATAAGCCAGGAACAGAAGACAAAATATTACATCACCTCATTTATATGTGAAATCTTTTTTAAGAATTAAATATACAGGGAATAGAGAACAAAAGAGTGGCTACCAGGGGCAAAGGTGGGGAGGTAGGGAGGAAATCAGAAGATATAAGTCAGAAGATACAGAGTAGCAGATATGTTATGCTGAAAAAGTCTAGAAATGTAGTGTACAACATGAGAACTATAGGTAACAAAATTGTATTGTATTTAAGATTCATGCTAGATGAATAGATTTTAGCTGCTGGTGCCGAAATACAAAAACAAAAACAAGAAAAGTGGCTATGTGAGATGATGGATATGTTAGTTTGCTTCACTTTAGTAAACGTTTTTTGCTATATGTATGTATCTCACAGCCATCATGTTGTATACCTTAATAATGCACAATACGAATTATTTTTAAAAATTAATTTTAAAAAGAAAATTCCAGCAAGGAGTTTTGTAAAAATAGACAAGCCTTATAGTAAAATTTATATGGAAAGGCACAGGCCCTGGGATAGCTAAAAGAATCTTGAAGAAAAGAATAAAGGGGGAGGAATCATTCTATCCAACTTAAGGCTTACCACATAGCTACAGTAATCAAGACAGTGTGGTATTGGCAAAAGGATAGGCACATAGATCAAAGGAATAAGACAGAGAACTAAGAAATAGGACTATTGTCTAGAATATGTAACTAACTCTCAAAACTTAATAGTAAAAAACAAATAATACAATTAGAAAATGGGTAAAAGACAGACATTTCACTGAATGAAATATACAAGTGGCAAAGAAATATATGAAAATATGTTCAACTTTATTAACCATTAGAGAAATGCAAATTAAAACCACCAAGAGATATCACTACACCATATTAAAATGGCTAAAACAAAAAAAAAACAAAAAACTGTTGACAACACCAAATGCTGGTGGACATGAGAAGAAACTGAATTATTCATCCGTTGCTGGTGGGTATGTAAAATGGTACACCCAATCTAGAAAGTAGTTTGACAGTTTCATAAAAAAACTAAACATACCTATATCATACATCCCAGAAATTATACTCTTCGGTATTTCTCCTAGAGAAATGGAAATTTATTTTTCCCCAGAAATCTGTACACAAATCTTCATAGCAACTTGATTTATAATAACCAAGAACTGGAAACAACACAGATGTCCTTCAACATTTTCTCCATAAAGTATTTCTAACTCTCTTCTGCCATATGAAGTTTTCTGACACCTCTAGAATTGCAGCAGAGGAGGGGATAGGTGACAGGAAAAAGAAGAGTAAGTTCTTTCTTGATTAATAGTATTAGGAACCAGCATCAACGTTGTCTGGACGTAGCTGATGTCTTATCATAGCTGATAGGAAAATTTATTTTCTTATGGAATACTGCTGTAGGTTTTTCTGAGACCTTCCTGTTGTTCATATTTATCAAATAGAGTAGAAAACCAGTGTATTACGTCTCCTGAGATCTAGGTGACAATATCCAGCTTTCAAGTGGTTCCCCTGAAGCTCCTTCCCCTAGGTTTAAGGTGAATGTGAGCCTTGCCCCCAATCCCTGGGAGAACTTCAGACTCACAGAACACCTACAGCTTTCTTCGAACTCCTTCTGAACTTTAAGCCTTTTTTCTTCAGCCTTTCCAGCTTATTTTAGATGTGGAGATTGGTAGTCAGCAAAGGGTCACAAAACCAGTTTGCAATTACCTCCTTCACAAGACCAGCATCGTGGTCTCACATCTTATATTGGAATATGTTGTTTGTTGTCTTGGGGTCTCAGCCAAAACTGAGATTGAAATAGTTTCATTTTAAAATCCTGTTTCACAAGGTTGGCTTGCCATTAGGAAAATCCATTAGTGTAATTCAGCATAATAAACAAAGGAGAAAAAAGTATTATTATCTCAATAGAAGCAGAACAATAATTTGATAGAATCAATATTTATTACTCTTAAAAAGTCTTACAACCTAGCAATAGAAAAGAATTTCATAATCTGATTAAGAGCATCCATCAAAAACTTCCACACTAAACATCATATTTAATGGTGAAGTGCTAGCGGACTTTTTTTTTCAGTGTCGTGGGTATTGCTTGTTTAAAAAATGCAGTATACCAATCAGTGACCTATCATCAAAGGAAATCCTTTGACCCTACATCAAAGAACTGGTCAAATAATGTATACTCAGACATTTCAAGTTAAAATGACATGCTGAAAAAGTGTCTCATATTATACATCACCACTTTATATTTTCCTTATTAACCAACTGCTATTTTTTCATTACCGCATATTCTTATCATTTATTCATGATGAGAATACTTAAAACCTACTTTCTTAACAATTTTTAAGTATATAAGTTATTTTATTATAAATGTATTATAAATTGTTATACAATTTATTGTATACTTGAAAATTGTATATTTCATTGTTTTTATGTATAGCACATTTTCTTAATCCACTCATCCATTGATGGGCACTTAGGTTAATTCTGTATCTTGGCTACTGTGAGTAATGTGGCAATGAACGTGGAAGTATAGATATCTCTTTGATATATGGATGTCATTTCCTTTGTACATATACCCAGTAGTGAGATTGCTGAATCATATGGCAGTTCCATTTTTAATTGTTTGAGAAACCTCCACACTGTTTTCTATAATGGCTGTACTAATTTACATTCCCACCAACAGTGTACAAGGATTCTCTTTTCTCCACCTTCTTGCCAACACTTGTTCATTCGTCTTTTTGACAATAGCTATTTTAACAAGGTGAATTGATATTTCATTGTGATTTTAAACTGCATTTTCCTGAAGATTGGGAGTGCTGATCATTTTTTGATATACTTGTTAGAGATTTGTATGTCTCCTTTGGAGAGAAATGTCTATGTAGGTCTTTTGCCTGTTTTTTTTGTTTTTTTTTTTTTTCTTTGAGGCAGAGTCTCACTCTGTAGCCAGGCTGGAGTGCAGTGGCGCAATCTCGGCTCACTGTAACCTCCGCCTCCCGGGTTCAAGCGATTCTTCTGCCTCAGCCTCCCCAGTAGCTGGGACTACAGGCGTGCACCACCACGCCCAGCTAATTTTTGTATTTTTAGTAGAGACAGGGTTTCACCATGTTGGCCAGGATGGTCTTGATCTCTTGGCCTCGTGATCCACCCACCTCAGCCTCCCAAAGTGCTGGGATTACAGACGTGAGCCACCGCGACCGGCCTTTTGCCTATTTTTTGATTAATCTGATTAGGTTATTTATTTTACCATTGAGTTGTTTGAATACCTTACATGCTTTAAATATTAACCCCTAAACTAAAAAATAGTTTTGAGAAATAATATACAGAGACCCCAAATACCCTTCACACAGTTTCCTTAATGGAATATTAACCTCTTATAAACTCCATATGACTTGCAAATATTTTCTTTCATTCCTTAGGTCATCTCTTAACTCTGTTGATTGTTTCTTTTCCTGTGCATGAGCTGTTTAGTTTGGTGGAATCCCATTTCTCTTCCTTTGCTTTTGTTACTTGTGCTTTGGGGTCATATTTAAAAAAAAGTCATTGCCTAGATCAATGTCATGAAACTTTTTCCTATGTTGTCTTCCTGGAGTTTTACAGTTTCAGGTTTTGTGGTTAAGTTTTTCATCCATTTTGACTTGATTTTTGTGTATGGAGTGAGATAAGGGTTCAATTTCATTCTTCTGTATGTGAATATCAAATGTTTCCAACACTATTTATTGAAGAGACTGTCCTTTCCTCATTGTGTGTTCTTGGCATCTTTGTCAAAAATCAATTGATCATCAATGCCTGGATTTACTTCTGGGATTTCTATTCCACTTAATTGGCCTATGTGTTTGTTTTTACACCAGTACCATGCTGTTTTCATTGCTTTGTAGTATATTTTGAAATCAGGTAGTATAATGCCTCCAGGTTTATTCTTTTTGCTCAATTGTTTTGGCTATTAGCGGTTTTTTGTGTTCCATATGAATTTTAGGATTTTTTTTTCTATTTATGTGAAAAATGTCGTTGGAATTTTGATGGGAATGTCATTGAATCTATGTATCACCTTGAGTAGTATGGACATTTTAACAATACTAATTCTTCCAATTCAAGAACACAAGATGTCTTTCCATTTATTTGTGTCTTCAGTTTCTTTCGTATATGTTTTGTAGTTTTCAGTGTACAGATCATTGACATCCTTGGTTAAATTTATTCATAAGTATTTTATTTTTTGTAGCTATTGTAAATGGTATTGTTTTCTTTTCAGAAAGTTTATTATTAGTGTGTAAAAATGGTACTGATTTTTGCATATTGTTTTTGTATACCGCAACATTACTAAATTTATTTGTAAGTTCTAACATTTTTTGGGGGGGAGTCCTGAGGGTTTTCTATATATACGATAAGGTCATTTAGAAGCCTTGTTTTTTTCACACTAGAGAAATTGTAGTTGTGTCCATAAAAACTTTAATAATGACATGCATTAATTTATTTCTCTAAGTTTATACTTGTGGTACTCTATCATTTCAGAATAATTGTGTTTTTTGTGATGCAAATCTTTTCCACTAATTCAAACTGAAAGGGCAAATTTTAGCCTGCCCTTTGTGATTTCAGAAAACATTTACTCATTCCCTTTAGAATATTAGTTTATTTCCAAGTATTATTTAGTCATTTTAGTTTTCCTATAAATGATAGCTGCATGTAAAATATAAAACCGATTATAATCTCTTATTGTTAAAAATTTCCCCCAAATTTTAACATGAAATAGTCCTGCAATTCCTGGTGCTTATCTGAACCAATAAATATAATCATTTTACTATTTATGTATCTACTTTGAGTTATAAATAAATCCAGGAGCCATATCTTACCTTAAAATTCATATTCAATTATCTAGCAGCCTTATTTTTTAAATAAGGATTAAGACAAATGTACTGCTATTTTTACTTCATTTCAACATTGTTGTGGTGATTCTATCCAGCATGGTAAGATAAGAACTAAAAAAAAAAAAATAGAATTTATTAGATTGGAAAAGTAAGAAATAAAACTACCACCATTTACAGAATACACAATTGCCTACACAGAAGACCTGAAAATGCTTATAGAAATATTACTAGGATTGGTAAGAAGTTTCAGCAAATTCACTAAAAATAAGATATATACATTAAAATCTATTATATTTAGAAAATGTAAATTTTATTTTTTATTTTATTTATGTGTTTATTATTTATTTATTTTAAAGCTTCTATTTTAGATTCAGGGGTACATGTGCAGGTTTGTTATATAAGTAACCTCCTGTCACTAGGGTTTGATGTACAGATTATTTCGTCACCCAAGTACTAAGTCTAGTACTCAATAGTTATTTTTTCTGACACTCTCCCTCCTCCCACACTCCACTCTCTGGTAGGCCCCAATGTCTGCTGTTTCCCTCTTTGTGTCCATGTGTTCTCATCATTTAGCTCCCACTTATAAGTGAGAACATGTGGTCTTTGGTTTTCTGTTCCTGTGTTTGTTTGCTAAGGATAATGGCCTCTAGCTTCATCTATGTTCCAGCGAAGGACATGATATTGTTCTTTTTTATGTCTGCATAGTATTCCATGGAGTATACGTACCACTTTTTAAAATTTAGTCTACCATTGTTGAGCACTTAGGTTGATTTCATATCTTTGCTATTGTGAATAGTGCTGCAATTAACATATATGTGCATGTGTCTTTACAGTAGAATGTTTTATATTTCATTGGATATATACCCAGCAATCCCAGTTAGTTCTGTTTTTAGCTCTTTCAGGAATCGCCACAGTGCTTTCCACAATAGTTGAACTAATTTACACTCCATGGTGTACATGTACCACTTTTTGAAATATTAAAACATTTTCTCCCATTCTGTATGATATCTTTTTACTCAGTTGATATTATCTGTTGCTGTGCAGAAGCTCTTTAGTTTAATTAGATCCCATTTGTCACTTTTTGCTTTTGTTGCAATTGCTTTTGGCATCTTTGTCATGAAATCTTTGACAGTTCCTATGTCCAGAATGGTATTGCCTAGGTCGTCTTCTAGGGTTTTTATAGTTTTGGGTTTTACATTGAAGGCTTTAGTCCATCTTGAGTTGATTTTTGCATGTGGTGTAAGGAAGGGCTCCAGGTTCCATCTTCTGCATATGACTAGTCAGTTATCCCAGCACCATTTATTGAATAGGGAGCCCTTTTCCCATTGCTTGTTTATGCCAGCTTTGTCACAGATCAGATGGTTATAGGTGTGAGACCTTATTTCTGTGCTCTCTATTCTGTTCTATTGGTCTATGTGTCTGCTTTTGTACCAGTGTGATGCTCTTTTGGTTATTATAGCCCTGTAGTGTAGTTTGAAGTTGGGTAGGGCGATGCCTCCTGCCTTGTTCTTTTTGCTTAGGATTGTTTTGGCTATTCAGGCTGTTTTGGTTCCATATGAATTGTAAAGTGTTTTTTATAGTTCTATGAAGAAGTTCACTGGTAGTTTGATAGGAATAGCCCTAAATCTGTGTTGCTTTGGGCAGTATGGCCATTTTAACAATATTGATTCTTCCTATGCATGAGTATGGAATATTTTTCCATTTCTTTGTGTTGTCTCTGGTTTATTTCAGCATTGTTTTGTAATTCCCATTGTAGAGATCTTTCAGCTCCTTGGTTAGCTGTATTCCTTGATATTTTATTCTTTTTGTGGCAATTGTGAATGGTATTGCGTTCCTGATTTGGCTTTCAATGTAGCTGTTTTTGGTGGATAGAAATGCTAGTGATCTTTGTATATTGATTTTGTATCCTGAAACTTTGCTGAAGTTGTTTATCAGCTTAAAGATATTTGGGGTGAGACTATGGGTTTTTCTAGATACAGAATCTATCATCTGCAAACAGGGATAGTTTGACCTCCTCTCTTTCCATTTGGATGCCCTTTATTTCTTTCTCTTGCCTGATTTCTCTGTCCAGGACTTACAATACTATGTTGAATAGGAGCAGTGAGAGAGGGCATTCTTGTCTTGTGCCAGTTTTCAAGGGAAATGCTTCCAGCTTTTGCCCATATGGTATAATTTTGGTTGTGGGTTTGTCATAGATGATTCTCATTATTTTGAGGTATGTTTCTTCTACACCTAGTTTATTGAGAGTTTTTCAAATGAACAGGTTGTTGAATTTTATCAAAAGCCTTTTCTGCATCTATTGATATTATTATGTGGCTTTTGTCTTTAGTTCTGTTCATATGATGAATCACATTTATTGATTCGCATATGTTGAACCAAGCTTGCAAGCTGGGGATAAAGCCTACTTAATCTTGGTGGATTAGCTTTCTAATATGCTGCTGTATTTGGTTTGCTAGTGTTTTGTTGAGGATTTTTGCATTAATGTTCTTCAAGGAGTTGGCCTGAAGCTTTCTTTTCTTATTGTGTCTCTGCCAGGTTTTGGTATCAGGATGATGCTGGCCTCATAGAAGGAGCTGTAGAGGAGTCCCTCCTCCTCATTTTTTTAGAATAGTTTCAGTAGGAATGGTACCAGCTCTTCTTTGTAAATCTGATAGAATTTGGCTGTGAATCCCTCTGGTCTAGGGCTTTTTTTTTTTTTTTTTTTTTTGGTAGGCTATTACTGATTCCATTTTGGAGCTCATTATTGGTATGTTCAGGAGTTCAATTTCTTCCTGGTTCAGTCTTGGTGGGATGTATTTGTTTGGGAATTTATCCATTTTTTCTAGATTTTTCTAGTTTGTGTGCATAGAGGTGTTCATAATACCTTCTGATAGTTATTTTTATTTCTGTGGTGTCAGTGGTAATAACCCCTTTGTCGTTTCTAATTGTGTTTATTCGGATCTTCTGTCTTTTCTTCTTTATTAGTTTAACCAATAGACCAACTATCTTATTAATTTTTTTAAAGAAAGCATCTCCTGGCCTCGTTGATCTTTTGAATGTTTTTTGTTGTGTCTCAGTCTCCTTCAATTCAGCTCTGATTTTGATTATTTATTGTCTTCTGCTAGCTTTGGGGTTTGTTTGCTCTTGCTTCTCTAGTTCTAGAAGATGTAACTTTTAAAAGGTGCCATTTTCAGCAGAATTTTAAAAGATACAAAGTAATGGATCTAACAAAAGATGTATACAACTTTTATGGGGGGAAATTACAAACTGTTATCACATTACTTTAAAGAAAAACCAAAGAAATTGTGAGAAATGTTTATGGAGAGGAAGATTCAATGATTATTAATGTTAATTGTCCCAAAATAAACCTAAGAACTTAATATAGTTCCAATTAAAAAACATTCATAGAAATGATAAACCCAAATTCTGGAGTCGGGGAAATGTGAGAAGGGACATAAAAGCTTTTTATTGTTTTGTACTTTTTTTTCTTAATCTAGGTAGTTGGTACACAACTGTTAATTATATTCTTTTCCTTTTTTATTTCTGAAATATTATGTTTAAAAGAGGAGTACTGAGTGTATGACTATGGCATTTTACTGGTGTCTACAAGCCAGCCTCACAGAGTAACTGCTAATTTAATATAGCTTCATATCTATATGCATTTTCACACTGGATTCTCTATTTCTTACTTCTGTGTGAATTAAAGCAGGTCACTTACTCTCCGAAATCCTCAGTTTTCACATTTATAAAATGTACTACAGAATTCAAAATTTCTAAAAAAAAAACGTTTTTAAAGAATAGGACGAAGTATGCTCTCAGTAAATTTTAGTTTGTTTCTTTATGAGGGGAGATTGTCAATCTTGTTCAGATAGAAGCATCTGGGATTCAGTACCCTTTGAGAAACACTATGAAATCCTGACATATTTAACTCAATCTTGGAAAGTAGGAGCAATTTTATACAAACTGAATATGGCATAGGTATGCAATATACAACGACCTGCAGAAGAGGGGGCCTGAGGGTCAAAAAAAAAAAAAACTAACAGACAGAAAGCAACAACAACAACCACAACAAAAAAGACCCCCACACAAAAACCCCATCCAAAGGTCATCAGCCTCAAAGATAAAAGGTACATAAATCTATGAAGATGAGGGAAAAACAGTGCAAAAATGCTGAAAATAAAAAAAAAACAGAATGTCTCTTCTTCTCCTGCCCAAACAGCCACCCTAGTTTTGTGCTTGAAACCCAGGGCCCTGGTGGTACAGGCTCATGAGAGAATCTCCTGATCTGCAGATTGCAAAAATCCATGGGAAAAGCATAGTACCTGGGGCAGATAGCACAGTCTCTCACTACTTCCCTTGGCTGGGGGAGGGAAGTCCCCCAGCTCTTTGCATTTCCTGGATGAAAGGATGCCCCACCCTGCTTCTGCTCACTCTCCATGGGTTGCACCCACTGCCTAACCAGTCCCAATGAGATGAACTGAGTAACTTAGTTGGAAATGCAGAAATCACCTGCCTTCTGCATTGGTCTCACTGGGAGCGGCAGACTGGAGCTGTTTCTGTTCAGCTATCTTGGGCTCTCCCCAATAAACCTTTTAAAGAAAGGTTTGATATGTTAATTAAACTATTAGGCATGTTTAAAGATGTTTTCATTGTGCTGGGCAGAGCCCCTATGTCTTCCTATTCAATGGCTTGTTTGCTTTACATTCCAGGGCTTATCCCACCCCCGCCCCCACAACAAGACCAATTGAAGGATTTTCAACTAAACTCTAATACTGGTGCTTTTTTTCTCAACTCACAGGGAGGAAATGTTAGGCTAATACATGGACATTTTTCAATCTTATAATTGCATGTATAAATTTTTTTCACACTGGTTGCTAAGAGTGCTAGCAGATGACAAAAATGATTGAAGTGGCAGCAATGCAGACCAGTAGAGTAATTTAGAAACTTTTATGCATATGTGTGATTCTTGGAGATGTACAAAGAGACTTAGACTCCCACACAATAATAGTGGGAGACTTTAACATCTCACTGTTAATATTAGACAGACCAATGAGACAGAAAATTAAGAAGGATATTCAGGACTTGAACTCAGCTCTGGATCAAGTGGACCTGATAGATATCTACAGAACTCTCCACCCCAAATCAACAGAACATACATTCTTCTCAGTGCTACATGGCACTTATTCAAAAATTGACCACGTAATTGGAAGTAAAACACTCCTCAGTAAATGCAAAAGAACAGAAATTGTAACAAACAGTCTCGCAGATCACAGTGCAATCAAATTAGAGCTCAAGATTAAGAAACTCACTCAAAACCACACAACTACTGGAAATTGAAAAACCTGCTCCTGAATGACTACTGGAAAAATAATGAAATTAAGGCAGAAATCAAGAAGTTCTTTGAAACCAGTGAGAACAAAGAGACAATGTACCAGAATCTCTGGGACACAGCTAAAGCAGTGTTAAAAGGGAAGTTTATAGCACTAAATGCCCACAACAGAAGACAGGAAAGATCTCAAATTGACAATCTAACATCGCAATTAAAAGAACTAGAGAAGCAAGAGGAAACAAATTCAAAAGCTAGCAGAAGACAAGAAATAACGAAGATCAGAGCAGAACTGAAGGATATAGAGACAAGAAAAACCCTTCAAAAAATCAACAAATCCTGCAGCTGGTTTTTTGAAAAAATCAACAAAATAGACCACTAGCTAGACTAATAAGAAAAGAGAGAAGAATCAAATACACACAATAAAAAATGATAAAGGGGATATCACCACTGATCCCACAGAAATATAAACTACCATCAGAGAATACTATAAACACCTCTACACAAATAAACTAGAAAATCTAGAAGAAATGGATAAATTCCTGGACATGTACACCCTCCCAAGACTAAACCAGGAAGAAGTTGAATCCCTGAATAGACCAAGAACAAGTTCTAAAATTGAGGCAATAATTAATAGTATACCAACCAAAAAAAAAAGCCCAGGACCAGAAGGATTCACAGCCAAATTCTACCAGAAAGAGGAGCTGGCACCATTCCTTCTGAAACTATTCCAAACAATTGAAAAAGAGGGACTCCTCCCTAACTCATTTTATGATGCCAACATCATCCTGGTACCAAAACCTGGCAGAGACACAACAAAAAATAAAACTTCAGGCCAATAATCCTGATAAACATTGATGCGAAAATCCTCAATAAAATACTGGCAAACTGAACGCAGCAGCAAATCAAAAAGCTTATCCACCACATTCAAGTCTGCTTCATCCCTGGGATGCAAGGCTGGCTCAACATACGCAAATCAATAAACGTAATCCATCACATAAACAGAACCAATGACAAAAACCACATGTTTATCTCAATAAATGCAGAAAAGGCCTTCAATAAAATTCAACATCCTTTCATGTTAAAACCTCTCAATAAACTAGGTATTGATGGAACATATCTCAAAATAATAAGAGCTGTTTATGACAACCCTGTAGCCAATATCATACTGAATGGGTAAAAGCTGGAAGCATTCCTTTTGAAAACCTGCACAAGACAAGGATGCCCTCTCTCACCACTCCTATTCAATATAGTATTGGAAGTTCTGGCCAGGGCAATCAGGCAAGAGAAAGCAATAAAAGGTATTCAAATAGGAAGAGAGGAAGTTAAATTGTCTCTGTTTCCAGATGACATGATTGTGCATTTAGAAATCCCCATCATCTCAGCCCAAAATCTCCTTAAGCTGATAAGCAAATTCAGCAGTCTCAGGATACAGAATCAATGTGCAAAAATCACAAGCATTCCTATATACCAACAATAGACAAGTAGACAGCTAAATTATAAATGAACTCCCATTCACAATTGCTACAAAGAGAATAAAATACCTAAGAATACAACTTAAAAGGGAAGTGAAGGACCTCTTCAAGGAGAACTACAAACCACTGCTCAAGTAAATAAGAGAGGACACAAACAAATGGAAAAACATTTCATGCTCATGGATAGGAAGAATTGATATTGTGAAAATGGCCATACTGCCCAAAGTAATTTATAGATTCAATGTTATTCCCATCAAGCTACCATTGACTTTCTTCACAGAATTAGAAAAAATTACTTTAAATTTCATATGGAACCAAAAAAGAGCCCATATAGCCAAGGCAATTCAAAGCAAAAAGAACAAAGCTGGAAGCATCATGCTACCTGACTTCAAACTATACTACAAGGCTGCTACAGTAACCAAAACAGCATGCTACTGGTACCAAAACAGATATATAGACCAATGGAACAGAACAAAGACCTCATAAATAACACCACATGTCTACAACCATCTGATCTTTGACAAACCTGACAAAAGCAAGCAGTGGGGAAAGGACTCCCTTTTTAATAAATGGTACAGGGTAAACTGGATAACTATATGCAGAAAACTGAAACTGGACCACTTCCTTATACCTTATACAAAAATTAACTCAAGATGGATTAAAGGATTAAACGTAAAACCCAAAACCATAAAAACTCTAGAAGAAAACCTAGGCAATACCATTCAGTACATAGGCATAGGCAAAGACTTCATGACTAAAACACCAAAAGCAATTTCAAAAAAATCCAAAATTGACAAATGGGATCTAATTAAACTAAAGAGCTTCTGCACAGCAAAAGAAACAAGCACCAGAGTGAACAGGCAACCTATAGAATGGGAGAAAATTTTTGCTATCTACCCATCTGACAAAGGTCTAATATCCAGAATCTACAAGGAACTTAAGCAAATTTACAAGAAAAAAGCAAACAACCCCATCGAAAAGTGGGCAAAGGATATGAACTGACACTTCTTGCAAGAAGACACTTATGTGGCCAACAAACATATGAAAAAAAGCTCATCATCACTGATAATTAGAGAAATGCAAATCAAAAGTACAATGAGATAGCATCTCATGCCAGTCAGAATGGTGATTATTAAAAAGTCAAGAAACAATAGATGCTGGCAAGGATGTGGAGAAATAGGAATCCTTTTACACTGTTGCTGGGAGTGTAAATTAGTTCAACAATTGTGGAAGACAGTGTGGCAGTTCCTCAAGGATCTAGAACCAGAAATACCATTTGACCCAGCAATCCCATTACTGGGTATATACCCAAAGGATTATAAATCATTCTACTATGCAGACACATGCACATGTATGTTTATTGCAGCACTATTCACAATAGCAAAGACTTAGAATCAACCAAAATGCCCATCAATGATAGATTGGATAAAGAAAATGTGGCACATATGCACCATAGAATACGATACAGCTATAAAAAAGAATGAGACCATGTCCTTTGCAGGGACATGGATGAAGCTGGAAGCCGTGATTCTCAGCAAACTAACACAGGAACAGAAAACTAAACACCATATCTTCTCACTCATAAGTGGGAGTTGAACAAATAGAACACATGTACACAAGGAGAGGAACAACACACACTGGGGCCTGTCAGGGGGTGGAGTGCAAGGAGAGAGTGCATTAGCACAAATACCTAATGCATGCGGGGCTTAAAACTTAGATGACGATTTGATGTGTGCAGCAAACCACCATGGCATGTGTCTGGGAACTTAAAGTAAAATAAAAAAAAAAAATTAAAAATATCTCTTGCTTTTTGGTGAGAATTTCTTTACTATCAGGTATTAGGTCAAACATTCCTTCATATAAAGACAAAACTGCTGTTCTAAAATCCAAATCAGGAACTGTTTGAAATACAGTTGACACTTGATCAACATAGACTTGAACTGCAAGTGTCTACTTATATGTAGATTTTCTTTTGCCTCTGCCACTCCTGAGACAGCAAGATCAACCCCTCCTCTTCCTACTCCTCAGCCTATTCAACATGAAGGCAATGACGATAAAGACTTTTATGATGATCTCCTTCTACTTATTGAATTGTAAATGTTATTTTCTTCATAACATTTTCTTTTCTTTGGCTTACTTGATTGTAAGAATGCAGTATCTAACACATACAACATGCAAACTTGTGTTAATCAACTTTTATGTTTTCAGTGAGGCTTCTGATCAATGGTGGGCTATTAATACTTAAATTTTCAAAGAGTAAAATGTTATGTGCAGATTTCGACTATATAGAGGGTTGGTGCCCCGACCCCTCCCTGTGCTGGTCAAGGATGAACTGTGCTTGCATCTTCTAAGATTAAGTTTTAAAGGACTATCCACAAAACTAATTCAGATAGTGAGTTGTATCAAGTGGGAATCAGAGAAACTGCTCCTTAATGTAGGAATTTAGAATGCCCAGGCATTCTAGATGTGGTTGTGTATAAATTTTAATCAAAGATCCTTGTAAATGAAGTCTTGCTCGTGCCCAGACTTTTTCCATTATGACTTAAGGAAATAAATGTAGTAAATATATAGATATAGATAGATTAGATAGATAGATAGATAGACAGACAGACAGACAGACAGACAGATAGATTGATAGATATAGTATTGAAAGAAAACAGATGTTTCTATCCACCTTTTCTCCACAGGCTGTTCAGGATCTATTAAGATAAGAACAGGCAGTCACCTTTCCCAAGATTGTTCAGAAAGTTATGGACTTATTAATTCAATAATATTTGTTGAGTACCTTCTAGGTTACATCACTGTTCTAGATGCTGGAGATATAGCAGTGAACAAAATAAAGTTGATAATGGATGTGTAGTATGTTAGTGATGTTATGAAAAGGAAATTAATCAGCACATGAGAATAGAATGGTGGTTGATGACATGTGAGAGTGGTCAAGAAAGACCTCAACTAGGAGGTGACATTTGAGCAGAGACCTGAATGAAATGAGCACTATCAAGATGTTAGGGAAGACAGTCCATGACAGAGGACAGATTGCCAAGTGCAAAAAATCTGAGGTTGGAACATGTTTTTTGTGCTAGAGCAAGAGCAGAAGGCCAGTGTGTGGCTTGAGCTAACGAAAAAAAAAAGAGCTAGTAGCAGGAAATGAGGTAGGATAAATAGCCAGAGACCATAAAGTGAAGGGATTCATAAGCCACAATAAAGAGTGTAGATACTATTTTAAGTGCAATGGGAAACCACTGGAAGGTATTCAACATGGAAATGACATACACTGACATATTTTTAAAAGGGTCATCCTGGAAACTCTAGAAGAATGAACTATAGAGGGGTAAGAGTGAAAGGGAGGAAACAGAGTAAGAGGTTATTGCAGTCTCATGTCTACAGTCCAGGTGAGAGATCACGGTGGCTGAGACCTGGACTGTGCTGGTGGAAGTAGTGAGATGAGAGCAGAACCTATAATATTTGCTAATGGATTAGATGTGGCATGTAAGAGAAGGAAAGAGATGACTAACTTTTGTGACTTTAGCAAATGTATAAGCAGTGACATCATTTACTGAGATGGGAAACACTGAAGAAGGAGCAGTTTTGTGGGAGAGGGGGGAATCTAGGGTTCATTTTTGGAAATGTTAAACTTGAGATCTCTATAAGAAATCCGAGATCAGGTAGCAGACATGAGACTGGAGTTCAGGGGAAGGTTGAAACTGAAGACATCTGGGAGATATCAGTTTATAAATTGTATTTAGAGCAATGAAATCATCTAGGGAGAGAGTGTAGATAGAGAGGTTTAGGTGTCTGAGGATTAATACTAGGGCATTACAACCTATGGAAATATGGAACAACAACAACAACAACAACAACAACAACAACAAAACAACAGTAAAGGAGACTCCAAAGGGGTAACCCAGCAAAGAAGAAAAACCAGTCCTACAAGCCAAGTGAAAAAAGTATTTCATGAAGAGAATGATCAACTTTAATGAATGATGCAGAGAGCTCCAGGAATATGAAAATTGAGGATTGACACTGAATTTGGCAATGTGAAGGGGACTTAATGAGGCAGATTTCAGTGAAGTGCTGATGACACAAGCCACATTACAGTAGATTTAAGGTATAGTTGGAAGGAAAGAAGTGAAGATTTTATAGTCAACACTTTCAAAGACTTTGGTTGTGGGAATTTTGAAACAAGGAGTATTTTCATGATTGGAGATATTAAAGCATGTTTGTATGCAGATGAGAATGATAGTAAAATTGATGCTGCAGAGAAAAGAGGGATAATTACAGAGCATTGTTCTTGAGGTTGTGAGAAATGTATGAGTAACAATACACAAAGTGGGAAGTTGGCCCTACATAGGAACCAGACAGTTGGTCTTTTATAATTGGAGGGAAGGGAGAGTATATGGGTGCCAATGCGATGAGGGTGGAAGATGTGATAGTGAAGGATATAGAAGTTAGAACTATTTCTGATCAATTTTTCAGTGAAATAAGTCAGCTCATCAGCTAAATGAGGAGTAGGGAAAAGGTGTTGGAATTTTGAGGCAGGAAGCAATTGGATGATATAGTAATCTTAGACAATGGGAGAATTATTTGACCTTAGGGAAGGGTAGTAAGTCTGTCCAGCAGCACTGAAGGTCCACATGTGGCTCATGGTCATAAATTTAAAATGGGCCCACTATACCTTATTACCAATTATGTTCAGAAACTGAGGCGCAGTCATGTAATAGGTGGCAAGATGAACTTAAACCAAGGTTGAGGTTTTGTCTATGGCTACAAGCTGTCTTGGTCCAATTCAGGACACTTCTCTTGAGGTCACATAAGAAGCAACAGAGTGAAATGCAGTAGGTGGACTATAAATTCAGATAAGCTAAAACAAGGATTGCAGGAAGGAGTGGCTAGAGATAAAGCTGGGGAAACAAACAAAAACACCATAGGGAAGATAAAACACTTTATTCATTCCTCAGGCTTTTCCATATGAATCCATCTTCTGAAAAATCTCCAAATTTTGTGATGGGTCCTGATTACTAAGAAGAGAGAGAGAGGCAAATTTGAGAGAATCCATGTTACAGTATTTATTTCCAATTCCCCCATCATTCAATAAACTATTGCCACCAATAGCCCCAAAGCAATAAGTAGTTTAAAGCTATCATACATCTGGATATGAACTTAACTGATCTGTATATGAACTTAACTGTGTGAGAAGAAACAGGAGAAGGCAGTATTATTCAACAACCCATGAGAACTTTGGCTGTTCTTCAGGGCATCTCTTCTCTTCCTTTTCAGATGGGACATACTTTGATACAATATAAAAAGGAAAGCTCAGCAAGGAAACGTCCAAAAGGATGTTTAAAAAGTTTTATGGGGCTGGAGAATGGCAGTTACAGAACTTTTACGTTGTGATCTGTTTTCCAAGAAGTTAGGTTAGGGATATTTTCTGAGAAAATCTTTAAACAAAAATCAATTCACTGGGAAAGAAAACTCTCTATGTGGAAAAATAAAATCTCTCTCTCTCTCTCTCTCTCTCTCTCTCTCTCTCTCTCTCTCTCTCTGTGTGTGTGTGTGTGTGTGTGTGTGTGTGTGTGTGTGTGTGTGTGGTTTGTTATAGCAGGCATGGATTCTGGCTATGGATATAACTATGAATACTGCCACCACAGTTCTTTGCTAATTTTCCAGTTAAATACATTCTGTGTGTGATAGGATCCCTTTTTCAGATTCTGCACATTGGCAGCTGGTTTGCACACTGGCAGCTGTTAAATTTTGTAATTACACAAGTGATAACAGCAGCCTAAATAGGTTTTCATGTTTTCCAGTTCTTCCTTAAGGAAAATGAGCAAGCATTTCCAATGATCATAGATAGAATCCAGACTCCTAGTAAAGAATTTTGGGATCCATATTATAAGGAATCATGTCGAGATGAATCTTAGAAACCAGATTAATAAGCATGGACCTTATCCTAAATGCAAATGAAGAGGGCAAGTAATGAAAATATTTTTTAAAATTTTTAGTATAAAACAACATTGATCCATTATCTCTCATGAACCTGTTGAGTGGTCCTGCTGGTCTTGCTTGGGCTAACTCCTGAAATGGCGTTTAGCTGTAGGGTCTGAGATGGCCTCAGTCATATGTCTGGTGGTTGGTGCTGGCTTCTCACCCTCCACATGGGTGCTCATCTTCCAGTAGGCTAAATTGCTTTTCTTACATGTTGGCCTCAAGGAAGTATCTAAGAGGAGGAAAGTACAAGCTTACATGGTGCTCAACATCAGTAATATTAGGAAAACACGAATTAAAAGCACAATGAGATATCATTTCATACCTAGTAAAATGGCTATTTTCAAGAACATGAAAGATAAAAAGTACTGGAAAGGACATGGAGAAAAGGAAACCCTTGCACACTGTTGTTAGGAATGTAAATTATTACAGCCACTGCCATTATGGAGAACAGTGTGGTGGTTCCTAAAAACAAAAAATGGAACCACCATATGATTCAGCAATCCCACTACGGGTTACTTATCCAAAGAAAACACTATGTCAAAGAGATATATTAGCACCTCCATGTTCGTTGCAGCACTACTGACAATAGCCAAGATATAGACTCAAACTAAGTGCTCATCAATGAATGAATGGATAGATAAAGAAAATATGCTGCATACATAAACAATGGAATATTATTCAGCATTTATAAAGAAGAAAATCCTGTCATTTGTGACAGCCTGTGTGAACATGGAGGACATTATGCTACGTGAGATAAGCCAGGCATGGAAAGACAAATACTGCATGATCTTACTTATATGTGGAATCTAAAACAGTCAAATCCATAGAAGCAAAGAGTAGAATGGTGGTTACCAAGGGCTGGGGTGGGGGAGGTTGGGAAGATATTGGTCATAGGATACAAAATTTCAATTAGAAAGGAGGAATAACTTCAAGAGATCTGTTGTACAACATAATGACTATAGTTAAAAATGAGGTATTACATTTTTGAAAATTGATAAGAGAGTTCTCACAGCAAATAAATATGTGAGGTAATGGATATGTTAATTATCTTAATTTGGCTATTCCACAATGTGTACATAGATCAAAGCATCATGTTGTACACCATAAATATATAAAATTTTTGTTTGTCAATTTAAAAAGTAAATAATTTAAAATCATGTGTACAACTTAAATATATATATATACATAATTTTTCTTTGTTAAGTATACCTCAATAAAGCTGATAAAAACAAATGGATGGAGAAACTTCACTGTTTAGAGAAATAGCATTCATGAAGATCCTTATATTTAATATCTTTAAGGAAATGATTTTTATACTACTTCTTTTGAGATTCATAGTCAACACTTTTCCTTCAATTTATGGTGCCTTCCGTTAATTATAAGCCTCAATTTGAAGTTGTGCTTCTCCCAGTCTTTTAGATGCCAAAGAAAAGCTTTCAGCAACTGCTTGAGCTTGATTGTGTACTGTAGGAGATGCTAAGGAGTGGCTTACTCTTCCATTCCAGCTTTTTTCTAGTGTGGGTTTCTGTACTTCAAAGACTGAAAAACTCCCTTGCAGCCAAGATTTGGAATGTGATTCATGCTCCACCAATCAGATACTATCGTGTGAAACTTTAATTGAGAACTGAGTTAAGTGTAAAGTGTAGATTTTACAAACTTGACTGCTTTCAACAAATATATTCACAATTTTATGATAGTAAATTCACTTATTGCATTCAATTTAGTTTTAAATAATATTGTAACAGAGGAGTTTAAGAATTTTTACCAATGAAGTAGGCTAGGCCATTTTTTCAGATAGTTCTTTTTGGTTATGTTATGCTCACCATAATAGATACAAGGTTTTAAAATGTGTTTATCATTTTATTTCCAAAACATATACACATACCTTAACACAATGAACTCTTTTGTTTTTATTTTTCAATTGTTTTTAATAATTAAGAGACTTACTATAGTAAAATACAATTTTTACATTCATGTGGTGATATGGTTTGGATCTGTGTCCCCAGCTAAATCTCATGTTGAATTGTGATCCCCAGTGTTGCAGATGAGGCCTGGTGGGAGGTGATTGGATCGTGGAGGCAGATTTCTCATGAATGACAGTACCATGCCCTTGTACTGTCCTCACAATAATGAGTGAGTTCTCATGAGATCTAGTCATTTAAAAGTGTAAGGTATTTTCTCCCTCCTCTTGCTCCTGCTCTGGCCATGTGACATGCTTGCTCCCATTTCATTTTGTGCCATGACTGTAAGCTTCCTGGGGCCTACCCAGAAGCGAAGCATATGTTAGCATCATGCTTCTTGTGTAGCCGGCAGAACCATGAGCCAATCAAACCTCTTCTCTTTATAAATTACCCAATCTCAGGTATTTCTTTATAGCATTGTGATAATGGACTAGTATATATGGCAAAGGTAGTTTCTTATATTGGTGTCAACACTATATTTGTAAAAAGTAAAGCCTTCTTGCCAAAAATGTATGGAAAAGCATGAAATGGAATTTTGCTGGTTTTCTCACCAGGAAAATTGTTTTCTGTTCCAGCCATATAAGCATCTTTTAAAGTAGCATTGCCTCTAGTTTCATCATTTGTAATTTCAAGATTATAAACTGTCTTTGTGTGGTCCCCTTATAACTTGCTGCATTACTATGAGTTTTAATGATAGGTTTCTTATAAAGAAGCTAAAAACAGTTGACTGACACTGATGGACTAGAATTTGTACAGAAAATACACAACTATAACATTAGCTTATTTTTGAGGATCTAAAAATCAAATCAATTGAACTCATAGAGAATAGAAGGATGGTTATGAGAAGGTGGGAAGGGTAGTGGGGGAAGGTGGGCATGGTTAATGCATACAAAAAATAGAAAGAATGAATAAGACCTATTATTTGATTACACAATAGGGCAACTATAGCCAATAATAACTTAATTGTGTGTTCTAAAATAACTGAAATAATATAATTGAATTGTTTGTAACTCAAAGGATAAATGCTTGAGGGAATGGACACCCCATTCACCATGATGCACTTATTTCATATTGCATGCTTGTATCAAAATATCTCATGTACCGCATAAATGCATACACCTAATATGTATCCACAAAAGAAGTTTTTTTTAAATTAAAAATTCTAAAAATGAAAAAAAAATCATATAAAAATATTTCTATGTGATAATGGACTAATATATATTGCAAAAGTAGTTTCTCATATTGGTGTCAACACTATATTTGTAAAAAGTAAAGCCTTCTTGCCAAAAATGTATGGAAAAGCAGGAAATGGAATTTTGCTGGTTTTCTCACCAAGAGAATTGTGTTTTCTAGTTTTCATTAAGGAAATCTACATATTGTAAAAGGAATCTACATATTGTAAAATTCATTAAGGCAATCTACATATTGTAAAAGTCTTTAGCTATCTTGATGTGTCTTGAATACACAAATATTTTTAAATTATTTTTCTCAGCATTGATCACCAACGACACAAAATATATAACTTGGTTAGTTTTACACTATTTATCTTAGATCCTGAGTTTTGTTCAAATATTTCTTTTAAAAAGTGGAAATCTACTATTGGTCATAAAAATTAATTTTCTAATCTGTTTCTTCAAAAATTTAGTCTTCAATAGTCCTCTCAGGAGATATCAAGGAATTTACATCAATACATTAGTATATTTATGATGTAAATGCAATAATGTATATGGAACCTTTAAAATCAATATAAATATGCTATTTTTATTAATATACATCTTGAGGTGGTTAAGGAATGTTAAAAACCTTGCTCTTAACTCCAGATGGCATTTTATTGTGTGTGAATAATGAGTCTCAAAGAAGACAGCAAAACATTCTCATCAACTTTATAGCAGTAAAAAAGCACTAGCTAGTGGGTGTCACCTTTTCCTAATTCTTTCTTTTTTAAATTAATTAATTAATTTTTAACGGTTATACCATAGTTGTACATAATTTGGGGGTACATGTGATTTTTTGATGCATGTTTCTAACCCTTTGAAAATCTAAAATTTGGAGATAATTTCTGTTTCAGTCTTTGTTGAAGATAGTGGATTATACATGACTAGGCTAAGGGTGTCCTTCACTCAGTATCAGGATACCAGAAATAAGGATAGAAAATACCCTTGGTTTTTATTAAGAAGTAAATTTAAAGTCAAAAGGGGTATTGGTTCTTCATTATTATTATTATTATTTGGAAATTAAAGCTACATTTATATTATTAATCATAAAGTCCCCTTAACAATAATAATAAAATTGTTATTGATAACACAACAATAGGAAATAGTCATACATACGCCTCAAGTCTTTGTCCTTTTTTTCCTTGGGCAGGGTGAAAAAATGGGGGTGGGAGGACAACATAGCTATCTGAAATACTTCCAGAAACATGATTTTCAGTGTTTTTGTTTCATCCTCAATGAAGATTGAATAGTTTCTTGGAACAGATGATTTAGTGTAATAGAATGGGCATGGGTTTTGGAGTTGGCCAACCTGCTGCAGCACTAGCTTGGCCACTGGGCTAGATGAAAAATGAAGCCTCTGCTTCTCTGATGTTTTCTTTCCCCTTCTGGACTTCAGCCACACTGGCGTCCTCACCATTATTTAAGTATATCAAATATGCTCCTACTTCTTGGCATTTGCTTTGCTGTTCTCTCTGCCAGAAATGCTCTTTCCTCAGATATTTTACAGCTTCTTCTTTTACTTAATTGAGATCTATGCAAATGCTATCTCCTCAGAGTAGCCTTCCCTGACCTTTCTCTCAAAAATAGCTCGTGATTCTATTTTATCACCCTGTTTTATAATTTGTCATAACATTTTCAATCATTTAACATTATGTTGTATCACATTATATATATTACTTTATATTATATCATACTTTTATATCTATTTATACAAATTGTGTAGCTATTTACTTTCTGTCTCCTTCACCAGAATGTAAGCTTCATGAAGTCAAGTTGTTTGTCTTGTACACTGCTGTATTTCCAGTGCCTTAAACAGTGACAGGTAAATAGCAAAGACTCAAAAAGCATACGTTAAATGAATCAATAAATGCATGAATAATATTGATTTTGCAGGATTCCTTTAGAGAACTAAATAAGACAACTTATAAACAAGATAGCAGTAGACGTTCAATCAGTGTGAGCTGGCTTTGTTCTGTGGTGGGAGAACAATATTGTATTGTATTATCCCCTTTTTATTTACATCAATAAAGATGTTAAGCCAATATATCTGTATGAAATTCTTCTATAAACAATTTTGTTAACTTGGTTCTACAGTGTTGAGAGGTATTTTTTATTGTGGCAAAAATCACATAATATGAGATCTACCTTCTTAAATTTTTAAGTGCACAGTACAGTACTGTTAACTACATGCATATTGCTGTCCCGTAGATCTCTAGAACTTTTTCATCTTGTGTGACTAAACTCTACCCATTGACAATAATTCCCCATCTCGCCAACAGCTCCTGACAATCACTGTTTTACTTTCTGCTTCTATGAGTTTATCTACTTTAAATACCTCATATAACTTGAATCATGCAGCATTTGTCCTTCTGTGACTAACTAATTTCACTTTGCATGATCTCCTCAAGATTCATCCATGATGTAGAACATGATAGGACTTCCTTCTTTTTAAGGCTGAATAATATTCAATTATATGTACATACCATATTTTCTTTATCCATTCATTCACTGATGGACATTTATGTTGCTTCCACCTCTTGACTATTGTGAATAATGCTGCAATGAACATGTGAGTATAAATATCTCTTCAAGATCCTATTTTCAATTGTTTTGGCTAAAAACCCAAGAATGAGATTGCTGAATCATATAGTAGTTCTATTTTTAACATTTTGAGGAAACTCCATAGTGTTTGCCATAATGGATGCACTATTTTACATTCCCACCATAGTGCACAAGGGTTCCAATTTCTTCACATTTTTACCAAAACTTATTATTTTCAGGGCTTAAAAATATTTTTTTAAATAATGGCCATCCTAAAAGGTATGAGGTGATATCTCATTGTGGTTTTGAATTACATTTCTTTGATAATTAGTGATGCTGAAAATAATTTCATATTTTCGTGCTGGCCATTTGTGTGTCTTCTTTGGAGAAACGCCTAATCAAGTCATTTGCCTGTTGCTTAATTTTTTTTATTGCTATTGAGTTATAGAACAGGTTATATACCTATCAGCTATTTGTATGTATTCTGTGGAGAAATGTCTAATCAAGTCCTTTGCCTATTGTTTAATTGGATTATTATTTTGTTATTATTGAGTCATAGGACTTGTGTATTTTGGATATTAACCCCTTATCAAAAAGATGGTTTTCAAATATTCTCTCCCATTCTGTAGGTTGTATTTTTACTCTGCTGATTTTTTCCTTTGCTGTGCATGGTCTTTAGTTTAATGTAGTCCCACCTGCCTATTTTTGCTGTTGATGCCTGTGCTTTTGTTGTCATATCCAATAAATTATTGCCAAGACCAATGTTATGAAGATTTAACCTTATGTTTTCTTCTAATAGTTTTACAGCTTCAGGTGTTATGTTTAGCTCTTTATCCATTTGGAGTTGATTTTTGTATAGATAAGGGTCCAGTTTCATTCTTCTGTATGTAGATATTCAGTTTTCCTAGCACCATTTATTGAAAAGACTATCCTTTCCCCATTATGTAGTTTGGCACCCTTGCTAAAAATTAGTTGGCTGTGTATGCATGGGTTTATTTCTGGGTATTCTATTCTGTTCCATTGTTTTATATGCTTTTCTTTATCTAAGTATTGTTTTGTTTTGACTAGTGCAGCTTTGTAATGTGTTTTGAACTCAGCAAGTGTGAGGGCTCCAGCTTTGTTCATCTTGCTCAAGATTGTTTTAGGTATTCAGGGTCCATTGTGGTTTCATATGAATTTTAGGATGGTTATATTTATTTCTGCAAAAATGCCCTTTGGATTTGATAGGGATAGCATTGAATCAAGAGATTGCTTTGGGTAATGCTGTTGTCTTAATGTTGGTGCCCCCCCACCAAATTTATATGTTAGGACTTAATACCTGATATAGTTTGGCTGCGTCCCCACCCAAATCTTATCTTGAATTCCCACGTGTTGCAGGAGGGACCTGGTGGGAAGTAATTGAATCATGGGGGCAGGTCTTTCCTGTGCCATTCTCATGATACTGAATAAATCTCATGAGATCTGATGGTTTTCAAAAGAGGAGTTACCCTGCACAAGTTTGCTCTTTTTGCCTCCTATCATCCATGTAAGATGTGTCTTGCCGCTCCTTGCCTTCTGCCATGATTATGAGGCCTCCCCAACCATGTAGAACTGTAAGTCCATTAAACCTCTTTCTTTTGTAAATTGCCCAGTCATGGGTATGTCTTTATGAGCAGCATGAAAATGGACTAATATAGTAAATTGGTACCAAGAGTTGAGCGCTACTGAAAAGATACTTGAAAATGTAGAAGCAACTTTGGAACTAGGTAACAGGCAGAGGTTGGAACAGTTTGGAGGGCTCAGAAGAAGACAGGAAAATGTGGAAAAGTTTGGAACTTCCTAGAGACTTGTTGAATAGCTTTGCCCAAAATGCTGATAGCGATATGGACAATAAAGTACAGGCTGATGTGGCCTCAGATGGAAATGAGGAACTTGTTGGGAGCTGGAGCAAAAGTGACCCTTGTTATGTTTTAGCAAAGAGACTGGCAGCATTTTGCTCCTGCCCTAGAGATTTGTGGAACTTTGAAATTGAGAGACATGATTTAAGGTATCTGGCAGAAGAAATTTCTAAGCAGCAAAGCATTCAAGATGTGACTTGGGTGCTGTTAAAGGCATTCAGTTTTATAAGGGAAGCAGAGCATAAAAGTTTGGAAAATTTGCAGCCTGACAATGTGATCAAAAAGAAAATCCCATTTTCTGAGGAGAAATTCAAACTGGCTGCAGAAATTTGCATAAGTAATGAGGATCCAAATGTTAATCCCCAAGACAATAAGAAAATGTCTCCAGGGCATGTCAGAGGTTTTCACAACAGCCCCTCTCATCACAGTCCCAGAGGCCTAGGAGGGAAACATGGTTTCATGGGCCAGGTCCAGGGTCCTTATGCTGTGTTCAGTCTAGGGACTTGGTGACCCGTGTCCCAGATGCTCCAGCCATGACTAAGAGGGGCCAAGGTACAGCTTTGGCCATGGTTTCAGAGGGTGCAAGCCCCAAGCCTTGGCAGCTTCCAAGTGGTGTTGAGCCTGCAGGTACACAGAAGGCAAGAATTGAGGTTTGGGAACCTCTGCCTAGATTTCAGGGGATATATGGAAACACCTGGATGTCCAGGCAGAAGTTTGCTGCAGGGGTGGGGCTCTCATGGAGAACCTCTGCTAGGACAATGCAGAAAGGAAATGTTGGGTGTGAGCTCTCACACAGAGTCCCTACTGGGGCACCACCTAGTGGAATTGTGAGAAGAAGGCCTCTGTCCTTCAGAACCTAGAATGGTAGATCCACTGACAGCTTGCACTGGGCACATGGAAAAGTCACAGATACTCAATGCCAGCCTGTGAAAGCAGCCAGTAGGGAGGCTGTACCCTGCAAAGCCACAGGGGTGGAGCTGCCCAAGACCATAGGAACACACCTCTTGCATCAGCATGACCTGGATGTGAGACATGGAGTCAAAGGAGATCATTTGGGACATTTAAGATTTGACTGCCCTGCTGGATTTCAGACTTGCATGGGGCCTGTAGCCCCTTTGTTTTATCCAATTTCTCCCATTTGGAATGGCTGTATTTACCCAATGAGTGTACCCCCATTGTATCTAGGAAGTAACTTGCTTTGATTTTACAGGGTCATAGGCAGAAGGGACTTGCTTTGTCTCAGATAAAACTTTGGACGGTGGATTTTTGAGTTAATGCTGAAATAAGTTTAGACATTGGAGGACTGTTGGGAAGACATGATTGGTTTTGAAATGTGAAGACATGAGATTGGGAGGGGCCGGGGTGGAATGATATGGTTTGGCTGCGTCCCTGCCAAAATCTCATGTTGAATTCCAGCATATTGTGGGAGGGACCTGGTGGGAGGTAATTGAATCATGAGGGCAGATCTTTCTCATGTTGTTCTTGTGATTATGAATAAGTCTTATGAGATCTTATGGTTTTAAAAAGACGAGGTCCCCTGCACAAGTTCTCTCTTTTTGCCTTCTGCCATCCAGGTAAGATGTGACTTGCTCCTCCTTGCCTTCCACCATGATCATGAGGCCTCCCCAACCATGTGGAACTGTAAGTCCATTAAACCTCTTTCTTTTGTAAATTGCCCAGTCTTAGGTATGTCTTTATCAGCAACGTGAAAATGGACTAATACAGTACCCAATGTGATAATATTAAGAGGTAAGGGCTTTGGGAAGTTATGGAGTCACAAGGGCTCCTTCCTCATGGACCCTCATAAGCAAGGCTTGAGGGAGCTTCCTTGTCCCTTCGACCATGCAAGGACACAGCAACAAGTTGCCATTTCTGAATAGTGGGCCCTCACCAGACACCAAATCTGCTGGCACCTTGATCTTGGTTCCCAGCCTCTAAAACTGTGAGCACTAAATTTTTGTTGTTTATAATTTACCCAGTGTAAGGTATTTTGTTATAGTAGCCAAATGGACTAAGAGAGGTAGTATAGACATCTTAACAATACTGTCTTCCAATCCGTGAAACATGAGACGTCTTGTCATTTCTTTGTCTCTTCTTTAATTTCTTTCAGCAAGGTTTTTCAGTGTACAAGTCTTATATCTCCTTGGTTAATTTTGTGCCCAAGTATTTTATTTTTCTAATGCTATTGCAAATGCGATTTTTTAATTTTTGGAAGGGATTATTTGTTGTTAGTGTGTAGAAATGTAAGTGATTTTTCTACATTGGTTTTGCATGCCTCAACCTTGCTAAATTCATTTATTAGTTTTAAGAGAGGTGAATATTTTTAATGCAGACTACTTGTTCCTATTTGAATCTGCCAAGTGTCCTTCAGCCTGGTCTGTTTATCCTTCTGTGTTTCTGTTTTTAAGTAGCGCTTCTTGTCTGCTTCTCCAGGCCTCTAAGACCATTAAAGACAACTAGCTAGGCTGTCTTTGACTCAGCTAGACTGAGTCAAGCTGCTGAGGTACTTTGGAATCACCTGTACTTAGACATTTTAACAGAACAAGACAGAACCCAAAGCTGGGGTCAGGGCTGATCCTACCCTGGCTGATGATGTGAGTCTAGCCATGAATTTTGGTTGTCCTGGGGACCAGGAAACAGAAATGGCACTACACAACCTTTCTCTGTCCTAGCAAACCCAAATTTCACAAGGCATTGCCTCTGTTTCCTCAGTAACAGCCACCATAAAAATAACACATCCCGATAATATTTTACATGTTTCAGGCTCTGGATTACTTCAAAGAGCTTCTCAGGTATGCATTCTGTGAGCTCTACAATAGTTGCACATTGTTTTGTTTTGTTTTAACTATATAGTGATTCCCTTGGATGAGGGCAATTTACTACATTTCACACCAGATTTTCCAATGTAGTTGATATAAAACGCTTTTTTCTCAGTTGAGGAGGGCCATTTAAAATGAGATTTAGATAAAGCTTGGTTTCAGGTGAAAAAAGTGCCCTCCCTTGTCAAAATACAAGAAAAATTACAGCAATATATTACACCTATCAACTTAAAAATGTTTATGCATTGACATAACATCATGTGAAGAAATAGAAGCTAAAAAAAATAACCTGAACTAGAGAAAATGTTTATGTTCATATACATTTATTGTAACATTATTCATAATGGTAAAAAACTAGAAAACTTATGTATCCAACACTAGAAGGGTGGTTCAATTATCCACTAAAATTATGCCCATTAAGAGATTATGATAGAACTAAAAAGTACTTATGTGATAATATTAAGAGGAGAAAGGGAAGGTGGAGCAAGATAGCAGAATAGAAGGCTCCACCAGCCATCCCCCCAACAAGGACACCAATTTAATAACTATCTACACAAGAAAAGCACCTTCATAGGAACCAAAAATCAGGTGAGCACTCAAAGTTCCCAGTTTTAACTTCCTATCTCTGAAAGAGGAACTGAAGAAGTAGAAAACACAGTCTTGAATTGTTGATGCCACCCTTCCTCCCCCATCCCATCCCCACAACTCTCCCACCCCCCAACAGCCACAGCATGATGTGGTGGGCATTTCTGTGTCTTGGGAAGAGGGAGAGCCAGCAATCGTGAGACATTAGACTCAATGCTGTCTTGTTATAGCAGACAGGAAAACTGTACCAAACTCAGCTGAGGTCCAACCATGGAGACAGCATTTAAATCAGCCCTAGCCAGAGGGGAATCATTGATCCCAGTGGTCAGAACTCGAGTTCTAGCAAACCTAAAGCTAAATTGCTATGGGGAGCTAAATGAACTTGAAAGACAGTCTAGGCCACAAGGACAGCATTTTAGGTGAGAGTCCTAGTACTCACCTGGGCCCAGAACCAGGAGTCTGCGGACAACACATAACCTACTGAGACACCAGCTGGGGTGGCTAAGAGAGTGCTGGAATATTCCTCCCCTAGCCCCAGGCTGCGCAGTCCATGGCTCCAAAAGAGACCTCTTCCTTCCAGTTAAGGAAAGGAGAGAGAAGAGTGGGAAGGACACTGTCTTGTGTCTTGGATACCAGCTCAGCCACAGTAGGATAGGGCACTCGTCAGAGTTGTGAGGCCCTCTTTCCAGGTCCTCACTCCCATACATTTCTAGACGTGCTGTGGGCCAAAAGAGAACGTGCTTCCTTGAAGCAAAAATCCCAGTTCTCGTAAGATTCATCACTTGATAACTGAGGAACCCTTAGGCTCTGAATAACCAGCAGTTATACCCAGGTACTACGCTGAGGGCCTTGGGTGAGCCTTTGAGACTTGCTAGCTTCACTTGAGACTCAGCACATTACCAGCTGTGGTGACTATGGGGTGAGACTCCTACTTGAGAAAAGCAGAGGGAAAAGTAAAGGGAACTTTGTCTTGCACCTTAGGTACCAGCTCGGCCACGGGGGAGTAGAGCACAAAGCAGGCTCTTGGGATCTCTGATTCCAGAATTTGGCTCTTGGACAGCATTTCTTGACCTGCCTTGGGCCACAGGGGAGCCCACTGCCCTGAAGGGTGAGTCCCAGGCCAGGCAGCATTCACCACAAACTGACTTAAGAGACCTTGGGCCTTAAGGGAACATCAGCAGTAGTCTGGCAATACTCACTGTGCTTGCAGGGCTATGGGGTCAGGCTCCTCTGCCTTTGTAAAGGGGAAGTAAGAGTAGGAGGGACTGCATTTTGTTATCTGAGTGCCAGCAGTAAAATAGAACACCAGATAGACTTCTAAGGTTTTTGACCCTACTCCCTGGCTCCCAGAAAGCACCCTTGGACCCACCCAGGAAATCAGAGGATTCACCATGCTGAAAGGAAGACTGACTTTGCCACTGACTTATTGTTGAGCCCCAGTGAACATAGGAAATAGCCAGGGAGTTGTTACAGCAAGCCTGGGGCCAGACCCAGTGCTGTGCTGGCTTCAGGTCTGACCCAGTGCAGTCATAGTTGTGGTGGCCATGGGGTGCTTGTGTTACTTCACCCCCAGGTTCTGGTGACTCTGAACAGAGAGATATTCCATTTGTTTGGGAGAAAGTAAGGCAAGAGAACAAGAGTCTCTGCCTGGTAATCCAGAAAATTCTCTCACATCTTGTCTAAGACCATCACAGTAGTACCTGTATGAGTCTGCAAAAACCATATTATTACCGGGCTTTGGGTGCCCCCTAAAGCAGATACAGCTTAGATCACAACTCCCAAGTCCTTTCAAAAATCTGAAAGGCTTCCCAAGAAGGATGGGTACAAACAAGCTGAGACAGTGAAGACTAAAATAAATACCTAACTCTTCAATACCTAGAAACAGACAAACATCTACAAGTATCAAGACATTCCAGGAAAACACGACCTTACCAAATGAACTAAATAAGGCACTAGGGACCAATCCTGGAGAAAAGGAGATAGGTGACCTTTCAGACAAAGAATTCAAAATAGCAGTGTTGAGGAAACTCAAAGAGATTCAAAATAACATGAGAAGGAATTCGGAATTCTATCAGATGAATTTAGCAAAGAGATTGAAATAATTTAAAAGGAGAAATTCTGGAGTTGATAAATGCAATTGGCATACTGAAGAATGCATCAGTCTTTTAATAGCAGCATTGATTAAGCAGAAAAGCAAATAGTGACCTTGAAGACAGGCTATTTGAAAATACAGTCAGAGGAGTCAAAAAAAAAAAAAAGAATAAAAAACAATGAGGTACACCTACAGGATCTAAAAATAGCTTCAAAAGGGCAAATCTAAGAGTTATTGGCCTTAAAGAAGAGGTAGAGAAAGAGATAGGGGTAGAAAGTTTATTCAAAGGGATAATAATGAGAACTTTCCAAACCTAGGAGATATAGCAATATCCAAGTACAAAAGAGTTATAGAACAGCAAGCAGATTTAACCCAAAGAAGACTACCTCAAGGCATTTAATAGTCAAACTCCCAAAGATTAAGGATAAAGAAAGAATCCTAAAAGCAGCAAGAAAAAAGAAATGAATAATATTCAGTGGAATTAGAATATATATGGCAGCAGACCTTTCAGTGGAAACAGGCCAGTAAAGAGGGACATAACATAATGGAAACAGGCCAACAGAGAGGGGCATGACATAATTAAGGTACTGGAGGGGAAAAAAAAAACAAAAAATTTTACCCTAGAATAGTACATATCTGGCAAAATATTCTTCAAGCATGAAGGAGAAATTAAGACTTTCCCAAACAAAAGCTGAGGAATTTCATCAACACCGGATCTATCCTACAAGAAATGCTAGAGGGAGTACTTCAATTAGAAAGAAAAGGATGTTAATAAGTAATAAGTGGTCACCTGAAGGTACACAACTCACTGGTAATAGTAAGCACACAGAAAGACACAGAATATTATAACTGTGCTGTGTTAACTTTACTTATTCTAAGTAGAAAGACTAAACAATGAACTAATCAGAAATAATAACTACAACAGCTTTCAAGACATAGACAATACAATAAGATATAAATAGAAACAAAAAAGTTAAAAAACAGAGGGTGAAGTTAAGAAGTAGTTTTTGTTAGCTTTCTTTTTGCTTATCAGTTTCTTTGTTTATACATTGTTATCAGCTTGATTCTATTTGTGAGCCTTATGGTAACACGAAACCACAAAACATACAATGGAGACAAAAAAAAAAAAAAAAAAAAAAACCAAGAAACTAAATCACCAAAGAAAATCACCTTCACAAAAGAAGGACAAGAAGGAAAAGAAAAGAGAGAAGACCACAAAACAACCAGAAAACAAATAACAAAAAGGCAGGAGGAAGTCCTTATTTATCAATAACATTGAATGTAAATGTACTAAACTCTCCAATCAAAAGACATGGACTGGCTGAATGGATTTTTAAAGACCAAGAGATCTGTTACCTACAAGAAATATACCTCACCTATAAAGACACATATGGACTGAAAATAAAGGGATGGTAAAAGATATTCCATGTCAATGGAAACCAAAAAAGATCAGGAATACCTATACTTTTATCAGACAAAATAGATTTCAAGACAAAACTTATAAGAAGAGACAAAGAAGGTTACTACATAATGATAAAGGGGTCAATTCAGCAAGAGGATATAGTAATTTTAAATATAGATTTACCCAATACTGGTCCACCCAGATATATAAAGCAAATATTATTAGAGCTAAAGAGAGAGATAGACCCCAATACAATCATAGCTGGATACTTCAATGCCCCACTCATAATTGGACAGATCTTCCAGACAGAAAATAAACCAAGAAACATCAGACTTTTAACCTGCACTATAGACCAAGTGGATCTAATAGGTATTTAGAGTACATTTCATCCAACAGCTGCAGAATACACATTCTTTTACTCAGCACATGGATCAATCTCAATGAGAGACCATAAATTAGGTCACAAAACAAGTCTTAAAACATTCAAAAGAATTGAAATAATATCAAGCATTCTCTCTGACCACAGTGGAATAAAACTAGTGATCAATAACAAGAGGAATTATTGAAGCTATGCAAATACACGGAAATTGAACAATATGCTCCTGAATGACCTGTGGATCAATGAATAAATTAAGAAGGAAAATGAAAAAATTCTTGAACAAATGATAATGGAAACACAACATACCAAAACCTGCAGGATACAGCAAAAGCAGTACTAAGAGGGAAGTCTATAGCTATAAGTGCCTACATCAAAAAAGAAAAAAACTTCAAATAAATAACTCAATGATGCATCTTAAAGAAGTAGAAAAGCAAAAGCAAACCAAAGCCAAAATTAGTAGAAGAAAACAAAGAATAACAATCGGTGCAGATATAGATAAATTTGAAATTAAGAAAATAATATAAAAGATCAACAAAATGGAAAAGTTGGTTTTTTGAAAAGACAAAAATAATTGACAATCCTTTAGCCAGACTTCCTAAGAGAAAATGAGACAATACTCAAATAAATAAAATCAGAGATGAAAGGGTCATTCTTTGCATTTCTGTATTATCAGTTGTAATATCTCTTTTTTCATCTCTGGTTTTATTTATTGGGTATTCTCTTTTTTTTCTGAGTCTGAATAAATGTTTGTCAATTTTATTTATCTTTTCAAAAACCCAATTTTATGTATCGTTGACCTTATGTATTGTTTTCTTTGTTCCCATTTCATTTATTTCTGCTCTGATCTTCATTATTTCTTTTCTTCTACTAATTTTGGACTTGTTTTGCTCTTGTTTTTTTAATAATTATTGTTATGTTGGCTATTTGAAGTATTTTTACTTTTTATCAAAGAGTAATAGGCACTTATAGCTATAGTATTTCCTGTTAGTACTGCTTTTGCTGTGTCTCATAGCTTTTGATATATTGTGTTTTCATTGTCATTTGTTTGAAGAAGTTTCTAAATTTTATTCGAAATTTCTTTATTGACACACTGGTAAGTCAAGAACACGTTGTTTAATTTCCATGTGTTTTTATAGTTTTCAAAATTCCTCTTATTACTGATTCCTAGTTTTATTCCATTGTAGTCAGAGAAGATACTTGGTATAATCTCAAAGTTTTAAATATTTTAAAACTTGTTTTACTGCTTAATATGTGTTCTATTTTTGAGAATGATCCCTGTGCTCAGAAGAATTTATATCTATAGACATGGAATGAAATGTTATCTAAATAGCTATTAAGTTCATTTTTTTCTATAGTGCAGATTTAGTCTGATATTTCCTTGTTAATTTTCTGTCTGAATGATCTGTCCAATGCTGAAAGTGGAGTGTTGACGTCCCCAGCTATTATTGTATTGTTATTTGGCTCTCTCTTTTGCTCTAATAATATTTATTTGCTTTTATATCTGGGTGGACCAGTATTGGGTGAATCTATATTTACAATTAACTATGTCCTCTTGCTGAATCGACCCCTTTATCATTATATAGTAACCTTCTTTGTCTCTTATTATAGTTTTTGTCTTGAAATCTATTTTGTCTGACATAAGTATAGGTATTTGTGATCTTTTTTGGTTTCCATTGGCATGGAATGTATTTTTCCATCCTTTTATTTTCTGTTTATGTGTGTCTTTATAGGTGAGGTATATTTCTTGTAGGGAACAGATCTTTGGGTCTTTTTAAAAATCCATTCAGCCAGTATACGTAATTTGATCGGGTGGTTTAGTCCATTTACATTCAATGTTATTATTGATAAGTAAGGGCTTACTCCTTCCTTTTTATTATTGTTTTCTGGTTGTTTTGTGGTCTTCTCTTCCTTCTTTCATTCTTCCCTGTCTTCTTGTTTGAGTCTTTCTATTTGTTAAATTTATCTGATAGGATTCTGTATTCGTTTTCTGTGTTATTTTGAATTTCTTTGTTTTCCTTAAAACACTTATTTTCTTTTTTTTTTAATTTTTATTTTTATTTTAAGTTCCAGGGTACATGTGCAGGATATGCAGGTTTGTTATATAGGTAAACGTGTGCTGTGGTGGTTTGCTGCACCTATCAACCCATCATCTAGGTATTAAACCCAGCGTGCATCAGCTATTTTTCCTAATGCTCTCCCTCCTCACACCCCACCCCCCAACAGGCCCCGTGTGTGTTTTTCCCCTCCCTGTGTCCATGTGTTTTCATTGTTGAGCTCCCACCTATAAGTGAGAACAGGCAGTGTTTGGTTTTCTGTTCCTGCATTAGTTTGCTGAATATAATGGCTTCCAGTTCCATCCATGTCCCTGCAAAGGACATGATCTTGTTCCTTTTTATGGCTGCATAGTATTCCATGGTGTATATATACCACATTTTCTTTATCCAGTCTATCATTGATGGGCATTTGGGTTGATTCCATGTCTTTGCTATTATGAATAGTGCAAAACAGCTATTTTCAATTCTCTGTCTGAAAGGTCATATATCTGTGTCTCTCCAGGATTGATCCCTGATACCTTATTAAGTTTATTTGGTGAGGTCATGCTTTTCTGGATGGTCTTGATGCTTGTGGATGTTTGTTGGTGTCTGGGCATTGAAGAGTTAAGTATTTATTTTAGTCTTTGCAGTCTGGCGTTGTTTGTACCCGTCCTTCATGGGAAGGCTTTCCAGGTATTTGAAGGGACTTGGGTGTTGTGATCTAAGTTTTTGGTCTCTGCAGCCATATCTGCATTAGGGGACACCCCAAGCCCAGTAATGCTGTGGCTCTTACAGACTCATAGAGGTACTGCCTTGGTGATAATGGATAAGATCTGGAAGAATTTCTGAATCACCAGAGACTCTTGTTCTCTTCACTTACTTTGTCCCAAACAGAGTCTCTCTCTCTCTCTCTCTCTCTCTCTCTCTCTCTCTCTCTGCTGGACTGCCTGTAGCTCGGGGAGAAGTGACACAAGCACCCCTGTGGCCATCACCACTGGGCCTTCTCTGGGTCTGACCTGAAGCCAGCACCATATTAGGTCTTGCTCATACATTGTGGTAACCACTGCCTGGCTACCACCTATGTTCTCTCATGGTCCTAGGGCTCTACACTCAGCAGGTAGCAAAACCAGCCAGGCTTGGTGTTCTTTCCCTTTGAGCAGCCAGTTACCTTTTGCCCTGGGTGGGTCCAGAGATGCTGTCTAGAAGCCAGGGTCTAGAGTCAGAAACCTTAGGAATCAACCAAGTGTTCCATTCTACTGAGGCTGAGCTGGCACCTAAGCCACAAAACAAAGTTCTTCCCACTCTTCCCTCTCCTTTCCACAGGTGGAGGAGTCTGTCTCTGTTGCCACCATTGCTCCAGGGCCATGAAGAGTACTGCCTGGCTATTGTCAGTGTTCACTCAAAGCTCAAGGGCTCTTCAGTGACCTTGTGGTGAATGCTGGCAGGCCTGGGACTCTCCGTTCATGGTGGTGGGCTCCCCTCTGTCCCAGGGAAGGTCCAGAAATGCTGTGTAAGAACAAAGGCCTAAAATCAGGAAGCCCAAGAGCCCACTTGGTATTCCATCCCACTGTGGCCAAGCTTGTACTTAAGCTGGAAGACAAGTTCCCTTACTCTTTCTTCTCCTTTTCTCAAGCAGAAGGTGTCTCTCCCCATAGCCAAGACAGCTGGGAATGTGCTGCACTCACCTGAGAGTCAGCATGGTTCTGAGTCTCACCCAAGGCCCATGGCAAGTACTGCCTGGGGATTGCACCCCATTTTTCATAGCCCAAAGGCTCTTTATTCAGCAGGTAATGAATCCTACCAGGACTGAGTTCTTCCCTTCAAGGTAGCAGGTTCCCTTCTTGCCCAGGTTGTGTCTAGAAATATCATCTGTGAGCTGGGGCCTGGAATGGGGGCCTTATGACTCTCCCTGGTACCCTGTTATTGTGGCTGAGCTAGTATCCAAGTTGCAAGATAAAGTTCTCTTTACTCTTCTCTCTCCTCTCTAGAAGTGTGGGAAGGAACTGTGAGCTGTGCTGCCTGAGGTTGGGGATAATTTTAATAAACACTCCCAATTCTACCATCCAGAAACAACCCCTGCTAATATTTAACATAGAAATTAACTTTAATTTTAATTGAACATTATCAGAAGGAAATAAACTGTAGTAAAAATAAATAAATTAAATAAGCAATATCTTTTCTAAGGTGATTTTTTAAAATAATGATAAAAATTGTGAACAATGGGAAGAAGTTGGATTATTATTAGATTTTTAAAATCCCTAGTGCTTGTTCATAGGCATAAAGATAAGTCTACAGGAAGCAAAAAGCCAGCTGTCTTATTAAAAATAAAAACAAATACTACTAGCAGAAAGCATCAGGATGATACCAAATGAAACCAAACCAAGCAATAACTATTAGTTTTTTAAGAACTATTTGCACCAAAACCTACTTTTGAGGTGATCCTTTCAGAGATGTTTCTGGGGAAGAACTGATTTATAAGCAAAATGCACCACAAAATGACAAATAACTTTCAGGTATAAACAAGCACATCCTACAAAAATGGCTAGAACTATCATTTGTTGTAACCCCAAAATGATTATATAAGAATTCAGAGAATCAGTTGGCCCTTCCCTCGTTCCTAAATCATCAGATTAGTGAAGGTGTAGCTTTGTCGTATCTTACTTATTTGTACTAAATCATACTTCATCTTAGTGTAATTTATATTTAAACTTTGACTTTCTTGTAAAGTTATGTTTTCCTCACATATTGCCACTTTGTATTCTTAATTAGAAGAGTCTGATTTCTTCACCTAATTAGCAATGAGCCATAGGTGCACTTCCATGGTCCTAATCATGTAATTACTATTACTAGAATTTGTAAATCGTATTGACATTCTTCTTGAAAAGCTCATTCCACAACTTCTTTTTTACTCCACTCCAGTGGTGATGGCAGAGTCTCTAGTGATACCCAAATTCACAGCTCTATGCTATCTCCTCCCTTTACCCCACTTAGTCTTGGGAATTACGGGTATGATTGTGAGACCTTAGGCAAGCCCCTTCATCTCTGTCACTTTCAGCTTCTGCAATAGATAAAATAGGAGTATTAGATGAGAACAGTGTATTTTAAACCTTATCGCTATAACTGTTATTATTGTTTATGCAATAATACTTCTTCACAAGTGTTTTACATATGCACAATACAATATGTAAAACATATTACAACACAATATCTAAAAAACTGAGTTAAATGTTCAGTGGGCCTGTAAATCACAGAACACTGCCCACTCGACCTCATCCTTTACCCATATGTGCTATTCATACATTAATTTCAACAATTTATATTGAGAACTTACATATCATGTGTCAGGAACTCTTGTAGGTGCTGGAGATACGTTGGGAAATGAAATAGACATAAATCCCTGCTCTAGTGGTGCTTCCATTCTAATAGAGGAAATAGAAAATAAATAAGAAAAATAAATATTTAATTTGTTAGATGGTTATGATTTCTAAGTGAAAAATAACGCAAGGAAGGGAGAAAGGAAGTGCTGTGTGTGTGTGTGTGTGTGTGTGTGCGTGTGTGAAGAAGGTATGGATTGAAACTTTACATAGGGTTTCAGGAAAGGCTGCAATAAGATGACATTTTATTAGTGACTGAAGGAGCTGAGGGATATATCTGGAGAAAGAATATAGGGTTTGGGGATGGGTTCGAGGCAAGTGCAAATATCCTGAGGCATGAGTATGCCTGGTGTTGTTGAGAAACAGCCAGGAGGCCAGTATAACTGAAGTTGAATAGACAAGAAAAACAGCAGGAGAGAATTAGGTTAGAGAGACAACAGAAGATCAGATCATGGAGAGCCTTGTGGATATCATAAGGACTTTGACTTTTACTCTTGAGTAGATGGGAAACAACTGGAGATTTTGACTAGAACAGTGATATAATTTGACTCATCTTAACAAAATCACTCTGGCTACTATTTGGGAAATATACTATTAGGATGCAAGAGCAGAATCAGAGAGACCCGTCAGGATGTTACACATTAAACCCACGTGAGAATTTATGTGACTCAGATAGCCTGGAGTAGTATCTATGGAGGTAGTAGGAAATCGTTGGATCTGGGTATATTTTGAAGGCAGAACCAATAAGATTTGCTGATGGATTGGGGATGACATGTATATGCAGCCATGTGCCGATAAATGCTGAACAACCAGATTGGCATGAGAAAGGGGAAGGGAGGCCTGATATGTAAAATGTATTGATTTTCATGAAGTAGATATTTCTACAATGGCTGATTTCAAGCTACCAATATAACATTACTGAACACAGAGTTGGGAAGACATGTGCACCATTGGCTCTTATGTGCCCATTTGAGCTGGCTTCAGGACACCACTAGCTATTAGAGAAACATAAGAGTGAAGAAGTATTCCAAGTTTTTTGTTCTCAGCAAGTGGAGGGATAGTGTGGTCATCAAATAAGATAGAGAATGCTATGGACTCATCAATTTGGGGGAGATTGAATATCAGGAGTTTAGAATTGGACATTTGTTTTGAGATGTCTCTTAGACATCCATGTTGAGATATCAAGTGCCTAGTAGTATATATGATTCTGAAGTTCACAGAAGACATTTGAGATGAAAATATGAATATGGGAGTCAAGGGCATATAAATTGTATTTAAAGCCATGAAACTAGATGAGAACGTCAAGGAAGTGAGGGTAAATAGAGAAGAGATGAAACCCAAGGACTAAGATGTGGACACTCTGATATTTAGCAGTCCATGAGGTGAAGGAAAATCAGCATGGGAGACAGAAATACCAGCCAGAAAGTTAAATGGAAAACTAAGTGAGTTTAATGCACTGGAAGTAAAGGAAGTATTTTGGTAGAAATAATGATAAACTGTGTCAAACTCTATTAATGGATCAAGAAAGATGAGAATTGAAAGTCAACATTCAAGAAAACACCACAGAGCCTGGAGCTTGGAACACTGTTTTAAAACTACTTAACTAAAATTCAGTAACTCTTTTCTAGTGTCAATCTCTTCATGGAGTCCACTTCCATGTGATCCATCATGAGGATTTTTATTTTTTGCTGCCAGAGCATTGTCTATCACTTTGCTGACCTCCCTGAACCTGGCCACCCTTCTATACTATAATGTATCACTTGTTATTATACTCTCACCTAAAAGCATTTATCTGCAAGAATTAACTTTCTTCCGTCATCTGTGGTTGTGTTCAATATTGCCTTTAAACCTAGGCAAACTGAGCCTCTGCCCCCAGGCCCCCAGCTTAAGGCTACACAGAAAGTCCAGTGCTTTAGAATGCCTTCCTTGAAAATTTCTAAGAATCCTTCTGGTCACTGAAACTGGCTGGGGCTGTCTCCTCTGTGAGTGACACTACTGGACTAGACTAAAAATAGATATTCCTTCTGCTTTTCTCACTCTGCCCAAGTGTACCTTGCCCATCCTTCCCATTTGTGGTGATGTGTTGTACGAAGGGGTACAGTCATATTCTAGAAGTGTAGTGATTGTAGAGTAAATAGTATGAGAAAGGACATGGTTGGATATGTATTTTTTCTACATTTACTCTATAAAATTCTCAAATGTAAGTTTATCATGACCAGAAAATGAATTACTGTTCACGTTTTCCTGCATACACTGGGTAAGATTTACCTGAATAATCATCATCAATAAAGCACAGTAACAACTTTTAAGACAGTCACTGGAAGCCAATATTCATGGGCAGCACAATGGAGATACAGAATTATGAGTAGTGATATAACCTCCATTAAATAAAGGATAATAGAGAACTACAGATATAAGAAGATCTATATTATTTCAATACAAAGAGTGAAAAGTCATGGTGTTGTGAGTAAAATAGTGTTGTTACCTTTTCCTTCTAGGGGGAGATATGAAATTATCCAGGAATGGCAATTTGACCACAAAATACATGAACAGATGGTTCTTGCCTTTGAATGGGAAAAGATGCTGCCTAGGTAACACAAATAATTTTTATATACTGTGATTGGACAATAAACAAATATGTAAGTGCCTCTTCTGTACCCATGATTCTGAGTATTCATCATTAAATTAGATGGGTCTATGAATTTTGTCATATATTTTTAACCAAACTGTTTCTATAGACAGAAACCCAACAAAAATATTTACTCATGACCCCATATGCCCTAGGGGAGACCCTAAACATATTTATCACCAGCATTTGTCCCCCTGCATTTTATGGGGCATATCAACTTTCCAGCTTCTACACCCACTAATGCCAAATAACCTTGAAACATTTTTTCTGACAGTCCATCTTGTATTGGAAAATGTTGTGACTCAGTGCAAATTTTACACTTTTGGATGCATTTGGATTTCTTGGATGTTGTAAGGTAAGAGCATCTACCTGCTTCCCCCATCTCTTTCTAAGGTTGTCATCTATTAAGGCAGCCTTAGCTCTTAGAAAGATCTTATTACAGTTAAGATCTGGTTATGTTAGTCCTTTAAAAATCAGATTACCTTTACTAAGTGCCTATATGTGTAACAAAAATCCTCTTTTGCAAACTAGTTGGTGGAATGCAAGGAATAATTATTTCTAGAAAACCTGCTAAATAAAGATGTTAATCACAGTCTAAGAACAGTAGCAACTCAAATGTAACTGTAGGTGAAATGGTTAAGATTGCTATATTCACTTGATAGCATTTTATGCCACATTTTATAAAAGATATCAACAAAATTTTTGAAGCTCCTGCCATAAAAAGGTGGGGTCTAATTTCCCTTCCCTTGAATACAGGCTGTATAAATACAGACTCATTTATAATAATAAAAAAAAAAGTAGTGGAAGTCATGCTGTGTGACTTACAGAGCTAGATCATAAAAGCCAATGCAGCTTCTATCTGGCTTACTCTCATGGGAAGCCCACCCTTGGAATATAGCTACCATATTGTGAGGAAGTTTAAGCAACATGGAATGGTTGCATGTGGCGTTTCTGCTGACAGGCCAAATTAAGGCCCCAGCCAACAGCCAGCATCAACCAAGATACCTGTGCATGAGCAAGCCATCAGTTGATTCAGCCCCCAGCCTTTGAAATGCCCCAGTTAGTACTGAGAGTAGCAGAGTCCAGCTGTCCCTGCCAAGCATTCCCAAAATTGCAGATTCTTAAGCCAAATTAATCTTCTTGTTTCAGCCACTAAGTTTTGGGGTGATCTGTTATGAAGCAATAGATAGCCGTAACAGATTGTGGAAAACTGGGAAAATAAAGCATAGGATATGTTAGGTGAAAAACTTAAGAATCAATATGTAATTATACTTATCTAAATGATTCTATGCATAGTCCAAAGACCAGAATAAGATACCTAAATGCTAACAGGGTTTGTTTTAGGGTGGGGATGTCTACAGGTATTTCTTTCTCCTCTTTAATTTTTCAAATTTTCACGTACATATATTAAACAAAACCACTAAGCTCATTTGTTACCTTCTTTTTAGTTTTTCTGATTTAAGTAATTTAAGGAACCATTAAAACAGTGAGCCTTCCACCTATAAGCTGACTCAGTCTCTCTTTGTGTGCCAAAACATTCCTGGCAGCTTTTATTGTTGATCAACCAAGCATACACTGAATGCAAGGCAGACATGATTGAAACGTATTCATTTATCATAAATTAAAGATCTTAATTGGAAACAGACACCCAATGCAGACATCTCCCATCTGCTGTTGGTAATGTTGACATTAAAAATGTCAGTAGAATGAAACTCATTAATTGCATATTCTGGGGATCACAAAAGCATTAACTTCCAACTGAAGGGGTTCAGGCAATCACCTCTCACATTTTGATGGCAGGACCAGGGAGCCCTGCTCACACATACAGATGACACTTGGGATTTTCTGAGAAATAAATGGTAAGCAACTAGGATCTATTTTCTTAAGCTCACTCACCTCCTCTTATCAACAAATTCCAAGGAGTATTCATTAAATACCGACCAAATTTGGAGCAAGGAACAAAATCAGAGCTCTCTTGAATAAATTCTCTCTTCTAAAAAAGTTCTGAGCCAACATGCTTTGGCCATGACAACAGCACAATTTTCAGCAATAATTAAATATGAGCGTTCATCCCTACTTCAGCATAGCATTAGGGTTAAAGATCAGGTCTACACAAAGTGTGGTCTCTTGGCCAGCAGCATCAGCATCAGCATCACCCAGAATCTTGCTAGAAATGCAAAATCTCAGCTCTACTCCAGACCCACTGAATCTCTGTGGTGGGGCCCAGGGATCTGCATGTTGACTAACTGTGCAGGTGATTTTAATGTTCACTAAAGTTTGAGATAATCTTCGCTCCAAAATGTATCTTTAAATTTTTCATCTTAAGACACCACCAATAGATGCATGCCCATGTTTTGATACCCTTGCTCCTCCTCGCCCCCACTACACCCACACATAAACATGGTATTCCTGGGCGTGGGCAAGCAGAGTGATGATGCAGAAACAGTATTGTTTGTCAGCAGGCAAAATTCTGAAGGTGGTCAAATGTGCTTTTGTTTCCTTTTGTTTTTGTTACTCTTTTCTTCTCCTCCCCTTCTACTGTTTCTTTTAGATACATTTTTTCAAGTATCAGGTTTCTAGAGTCCCGGGCTCCCCTAGATGCCTACAATGAAAGATGATACTCAAGTCTGTCTGGAACCCTTGACAAAATATAACTGTCCTAAGTTTATTTTGCTCAGTGCCCTGCTTACTAAATGATAGCAATTGGTTTGTTAGTTAAATAAAGTTTTGGTAGAAGATACAAATAAGTTTTATTTCAAATGAACTTTATTGGAGATTAATTTACGTATAATAAAATGTGCCAATTTAAGTGTACAGTTCAATGAGTTTTGATATATTTTTAAACATATGTAGGAACCATCACAATCAAAATGTAGAACATTTTCATTACCACAAAACGTTCTTTCAAGCCTCCTTTGCAGTCAATCCTCCCCTGGCTCTCGGCAGCCACTGATCTGCATTCTATTATTGATTAGATTCCCCCTTTCTAGAATTTCATATAAATGGCACATATAGTATATAGCTTTTTGTGTCTGGCTTCTTTCACTTAATATATTTTTGAGATTCATTCATGTTGATCCTTTGTATAGTTGTATAGTATCTCACTGCGTGTATATACCTTGATTTGCTTATCCATTTAATTCTTAATGGACCTTTGGGTTGCTTGCAGTTTTATAATTTTTAAAATTTTTAATTTTTCTGAGTACATAGTAGGTGTATATATTTAAGTAGTGCATGAGATTTTTTAATAAAGGTATAATATGATAATAATTATATCATGGAAAACTGGGTATTCATCCCCTCAAGCACTTATCCTTTGTGTTACAAACAATTCAATTATACCCTTTTAGTTATTTTAATGTGTACAAGTAAATTTTTATTTACTATAGTTCTGCTGTTTTGCTAGCAAATACTAAGTCTTATTCATTCTTTGTATTTTTTTTGTACCCATTAACCATTGTCACCTTCCTCCCAGCCCCCCACTACCCTTCCCAGTTTCTGTAACCATCCTTCTACTCTGTATCTCAATGAGTTCACTTGTTTTGATTTTTAGATCCGACAAATAAGTGAGAACAGATGATGTTTGTCTTTCTGTTCCTGGCTTATTTTCACTTAATATAATAACCTCCATTTCCTTCTATGTTATTGCAAATAACAGCATTTCATTCTTTTTTATGACTGAATAGTACTCCATTGTGTATAAGTACCACCTTTTCTTTATGCATTCACCTGTTAATGGACAAATAGGTTGCTTCCTAATCTTGGCTATTGTGAACAGTGCTTCAACAAACATAGGAATGCAGATATCTCTTCAATATACTGATTTCGTTTCTTTTGAGTATGTACCCAGCAGTGGGATTGTTGGATCAGATGGTAGCTCTATTTTTAGTTTCTTTTTTGAAGAACCTACAAATTGTTCTCCATAATGGTTGTACTAATTTACACTCCCACCAGCAGTGTACAAGGGCTGCTTTTTCTCCACATCCTCACCAACGTTTGTTACTGGCAAACTTTTAAATTAAAGCCATTTTAATTTGGGTGAGATGATATCTCATATCTCAGGTAGTTTTGATTTGCATTTCTCTGATATTGAACACCTTTTCATATACCTGTTTGCCATTTGTATGTCCTCTTTCACCCAAGCTAGAATGAAGTGGCATGATCTTGGCTCAATGCAACCTCTGCCCCCAGCTTCAAGCGATTCTCCTACCTCAGCCTCCTGAGTAGCTGGGATTATAGGCGCCTGCCACCACACCCAGCCAATTTTTGTATTTTTAGTAGAGACAGGGTTTCGCCATGTTGGCCAGGCTGGTCTCAAACTCCTGATCTTAGGTGATCCACCTGCCTCAGCCTCCCAAATTGCTGGGATTACAGGTGTGAGCCACCATGCCCAGCCATGTATGACTTCTTTTGAGAAATGTCTATTCAAATCTTTTGCCCATTTCTTGACTGGATTATTAGATTTTTCCCTATAGAATTGTTTGAGCTCCTCACGTATTCTGGTTATTAATCCCTTGTCAGATTGGTAGTTTGCAAATATCTTCTCCCTTTCTATGGGTTATCCTTTGCTGTACAGAAGCTTGTTATCTTGATGTGATCTCATTTGTCCATTTTCGTTTTGTTGTCTGTGTTTGCAGGGTATTATGGAAGAAATTTTTGCCCAGAACAATGTCCTGGAGAGTTTCCTCAATATTTCTTGTAGTAGTTTCATAGTCTGAGGCCTTAGGTTTAAGTCTTTAGTCCATTTTGATTTGATTTTTGTATATGGCAAGAAGTAGGGGTCTAGTTTCATTCTTCTGCATATGGATATCCAGTTTTCCCAGCAACATTTATTTAAAAGACTGTCTTTTCCCCAGTGTATGTTCTTGGCATAATTGTTGAAAATGAGTTCACTGTAGGTGTGTAGATTTGTTTCTGAATTCTTTATTCTGCTTCATTGGTCTGCGTGTCTGTTTTTATGCCAGTGCCATACTGTTCTGGTTACTATAGCTCTGTAGTATAACTTGAAGTCAGGTAAAGTGATTCCTCCAGTTTTGTTCTTTTTGCTCAAGATAGCTTTGGCTATTCTGGGTCTTTTGTGATTCCATATAAATTCGAGTTTTTTTGTCTATTTCTGTGAAGAATGTCATAGGCATTTTAATAGGGATTGTATGGAATCTGTTGATTTATTTCGGTAGTATAGACATTTTAACAATGTTGATTCTTCCAGTCCATGAACAAGGAATATATTTCCATTTTTTGTCCTCTTCATTTCTTTTTCTTCAGTGTTTCATAGTTTTCATTGTAGAGGTCTTTCATTTCTTTGGTTAAGTTAATTCCTAGGTATTTCATTTTATTTGTGGCTATTGTAAGTGGGATTATTTTTTATTTCTTTTTCAGATTTTTCAGTGTTGGCATATGAAAATGTTACTGATTTTTGCATCTTGATTTTGTATCCTTAAACTTTACTAAATTTATCAGTTCTAGTAGTTTTTTTTTTTTTTGGTGGAGTCTTCAGATTTTTTTCAAATATAATGTCATATCGTTGCTTACAGTTTTTTGCTTATCATGAATACAGCTATGAATTTTCATGTTTGGAATGTCTGGGATTTTCAGGTGTGCATTAAGTAACACCTGTACTGACATCTGAATAATACACTGCATTTTCCAGTGGTAAATGCTACAAAGCAATGACAAAGGGTGGGACATTTAGATACAAACATGGGAATTGAAGGGTTGAATTTTAAACGTACAAAGATTACTGCTCTTTATGGCAACACATCTCAGTTTTTTAGTGCTGTATATTTTTAAGGGACACAGTTATGTCCAGGCTCTTCAGCATTATTCTGCTCATTTTTTCAGATACAGCTGAAGACAGTCCTTATACCTTGTCTTCCCACTGCCTTGGTGAATCTGTTTTGCCAGTATGATGTTCAAATATTAATGTGGCCCCAGTGGCAAGCATAAAGAAGTCCAGATGAAATGCCAAGGGTTACAAATGACTTTTGAGCAAGACATGTTCAAGTGGACCTGTTTCATTTGAAAAAAAAAAAATTCCCCAAGCTGTTTCAATAGTTTATTTTGTGAATGTACACAGTTGGCCTGCAGGGTATCCTTTTCATTTGTCAACACTAGGCCATAAAAGCTGTCATTATGTAGAGGCTTTGAGAACAATAGTTCAAAATTTTTCATTTTTTATTTTGTGCCTAATATTCTACATCAAGATTGTACACTCTCAGGCATGAGAGCTTGCTTTCAAGAATTATGTACTTTGAGAGGAGAGGAAGGAAGTATATAAAATGAGATACTTTTCATTTTATTTTGTTTCATTTTTGTAAAAGACAGCAGAGTTTAAAGCATCTAAAGGTTCTAGGAGAGCTGCACCAAACTCAGTGATTTGGGAACTGACAGAGAGATCAATGTGAATTCATTACTAGATTCATTTCTTCATTCACTTACTCCAAGGAGATTACTTTGGTTTGTGACCCTTCCAGAAGGCTCTGCATCAATGGCTCAAGTGCAAGTAGTTTGTCTGGGAAGTGATCGCAGGAAGACTTAGTAGGAGAGTAGGAATGGAAACAGGGAAAAGAAGGAAGTGAATACAGAGTACTTTATCAAACAAATTGTCACTATGAGCAACTGAGGTTCAATTCCACTGAGAAACTCTGGGAGACAATGTAGAACAATCTTCCAAGCTGTCTACTCCTTACCCTACTCTCAAAGGGCAAGGAAGCTGAGGAGTTTATTCTCCACCTCCTATTTGTCATTGGATTAGCCCTGAACACCCTTCACATGCTCTGGAACAGCATGTGCCAAGGGGATATGGTCTATCACCAACAGCATCTGCTAGAGAGCTCATTTTCTGCACTGTATGTTCTTTTTCATTTCAACCCGTTTCAAAGTGAGCATTGTAAAAGAGTCAGTAACTCTATACATTTTATCAGAAAAATATTTTCAAGTGTCTCCCACCACTATGTTGTATTGATCTTGCCAAAAGGCATGTAATAATTTTTGGTTCTGAGTGTTACTTAATTCTGAGGGATATCCTTCAAGATGTGATTTTCACAATATAAAACAAATATCCCCAAAGTAACTGAACTTTTCATATATCATATTGCCCCCTGTGGAGAAACTATATTGCATCATTTAAGAAAATTATTCAAGCATTAATTCTCAACTGCTTCATAGATGACTAGTCAACTCTATTTGAATTTTATTTGTAAACAAGAATGCAAATCACTATTTTTTAGCACAAGGATTCTTTTTAAGATTTAGGATCTGCAATAGAAATGCAACTTGAAAATATGCATTTCTGTAAAGTTAGAGAAAGGATAAAACATGCACTAGCATAAATATATTGGGAAAACTATAAATATATGACTGCATATACAATTTTACACAAAGCTTTCAGGGAAAAAAAAAGACGCAACTTTTAGTCTTAACCTATTCTATTTTTACTATTCATTTTGTGAACTATTTAAGGGCAAGGTTTTATGAAAGAGGTACTTGTGAGAGTGAAAGAGAGAGTGGGAGCAATTTTCAATATATTGATCCTTTCAGAATACTCTTATTAAGGGAAGCTAAATATCTGAGAGCAAACAAAGTGATAAATAATATGAAAATGCACTGTAATGCAGTCCTGCACATGTTTTTCTGTAAGTCTTAATGCAAGATCCCATGAAGCCATTAATGAATGTTGGAATTTATACCAAAGACCCTTTGCTAGAAGTTATTTCTCTGTAATTCCCAACCTATGAGTTTTCTCTTTAATGATCACTTTTGTGTCTGTATGAACGATTTTTCTCCTTGGTGTTTTTTTTTTTTTTTTTTTTTTTTTTAGTTTTGCTATCTCTGTGTTAAAATACATGTAAATATTAGCACATCTTCAGCACATATTATTTACCGCTTTGTTAATGGTTCTCAAACAGATCTGAAAATCCTTGTGTCTCAACATCCTCTATTCTTCCTCATATAATTCAGGTAAAGACAGTGCTGGATTGCCAGTAATGAAAGGAAGGGTTACAGCAAGGTTTTCTATTTATCACTCTGGCAGCCAACTTTCAGAAGTGATATGCAGATGATAGTTTTATGTGTACATCAAATGATTAGTTAGACTAAGGCTGTTTCATGAGACACTTCCAACTTAAGCTGGGACTAAGAGGAGGCAAGTGAGGTGAGTGAGGCACTTACCTAGGATGCAAAATTTATGGGGATACCAGAATTCTCAGTAATCAAATGAGATATTTTAATGTGGTACCTTAAAAAACAAAAATTGATGCAAAATTCCATCTTGAAGGAAATGTAGTCATTTTTTATCAAAGAAAGAAGGAGTATTACTAATTTTTTTTTTTTACCTCAGGCTCTAATACAGCTGGGAAAGGCACTGTTACTGATCTTATCTTTATTTAAAACATTCGTATTTAGTTCTGCAATCCCTCAGGATGTTTTGCTTATTTAGAATGTATTGAACCTTGGGTCCTCTGGTTCAGGCATCCTCTTTTATCCTTTAATTAACCTGTGGCCAATTTGACCATATACATTCATGTCTTAATAGTTCTTTTCATCAAGTTACTGACCAGCATAGCACATACAATTTCCAGGCAGAACAGAGGCTAGCCATTTGATCATATGAGTATACACGAGATGAATGTCATCCATGATCACATAACCAGGTGCATTCCAGGTATCCTAAAAATGTCATGGATGACTAATTCATGAATTTAGTAAAATTTCACAGGTTCTCATATCTCAGATCTTAGGTTTTACTTATTACCTTCACTTTATTAGTCCATTTAATAGCTTTTTGTTTTTCTAATACATGAAATGTATATATTGTCAAAAATCAAATAAAAGAACAAAGAATAAAATTACAATCAGTAAAATCTCACAATGCAGATTTATACTCTCTTAATGTTTCAGTGGATAATCCTTCCAAACATATTTCTGTGAAGATAGAAATATGTATGTAATTTTATATAAGCAGGATCATATATGATGCTTGTTAATATGCTTTTATATGTCATTCTATGTTATGGACATGTTCTATGTCCATAAATCTAAATCTAAAAAATCATTGCATAGCGTTCCATTACGTAAAGTATAGCTGACACTGTCAGTGGGTTGCTCTCATTCCCTCAGATCTTTATAACTTGTTATATTCACCCACCCCCCAGCTCCCGTGTGCTTTGCTTCTATTGGCTTGCACCAGTGACCATTTTTTTTTTTTTTTTTTTTTTTTTGAGACGGAGTCTCACTCTGTTGCCCAGGCTGGAGTGCAGTGGCGCAATCTTGGCTCACTGCAAGCTCTGCGTCCTGGGTTCACGCCATTCTCCTGCCTCAGCCTCCCGAGTAGCTGAGACTACAGGCGCCCACGACCACACCCGGCTAATTTTTTGTATTTTTAGTAGAGACGGGGTTTCATCGTGTTAGCCAGGATGGTCTCGATCTCCTGACCTCATGATCCACCCGCCTCGGCCTCCCAAAGTGCTGGGATTACAGGCATGAGCCACTGCGCCCGGCCACCTGTGACCTTCTTTAGAGTGTGTCCTTGGTCTATAGGAACTTCTTCACCAAGGCAATGGAGAGCCAGAAATTCCTGAGTGTTTACCTCTCCTCAGGGTGACCCTTGAGTTTCAAGGACTGCTTGATGTAGGGATAGGAAAGCCCAGCTCAGTTTGCCTCAAGGTGGGACAAACTCTGAGGTGTAATTCATGCTCCAGAGCTTCCTGCAAGATCAGGCTGAGATTGAAACTTATCTGAATCATACACTTGCTTGGTTTCTTCTGATTCCCCTTCCTGCTTTTCCCAATCTTTCGCCAGATTCTTCCAGAAACACTTCTTTAATAAATTGCTTGCATAAAAATCCTTGTCTCAAGGTTTACTTCTGGAGTGGTGCTATTTCTAGAAATATAATGCAAGCCACAAACACAAGCCATATATGCAATTTAAAATTTTCTGGTAATCACATCAAAAAGTAAAAAGAAACAGATGAAATTAATTTTAACAATATATTTTATTTAACTTAATATATAAAAATTATTATTTCAACATGGAATTAAAATAAAAAAATTATTAATAAAATAGTCTCTATTCTTTTCACAGTACATCTCTGAAATTAGTTGTGCATGGTGATATGGGGTGAAATTAGGTGTGTAGCCATATTTCAAGTGTTCAGTAGTTATGTAGTTATGGTCAGTAAAATGGCTACCGTTTTAGACAGCACAGATATGGAAAATCCAAACTAAGACATAAAACATCATATTTTACTTAACTGGTGCCCTATTGATGAATATTGAGTTTGTTTCTATTCCTCTTCCATTGTTTAATATTTTGATAAATATTCTTGCGCCTACTATATCTATGTGATTAGTTCCCAAGACAAAATTTTTTAAATTGGTTTACTGTATTAAACTGGCCTCTAGAAGGAAAATTGTCCATTTCCCCTCACCCTCTGCAACACTTTTTTAGTCTTTTTCATATTTGTAAATCTGATAATGAGAGTTTAGACTTTAAATGTTTCTTCACCTTTTGGCAAACCAGAGATTTATTTTTCCCTTCCTAACGTTGAAGACAGTAGATTAATAGGGAACTCCGACTACTGTTCTCATACCAGGCATGGGAAAGTCCTGCACACACATAAATATTTAATATTACAGCACATAAAATAAAATTCTGTACTATACTCTCAGCCTCCATTAAACTAAATTAGGGAGTAATCTAAAAATGGTCCTTGGGACTTTTTCTATGATTGATTCCTCTAGCCCAGCATACCTGTGAATGTCTGATTGTCAAAGAGAGAAATAACAAATCTAGAGGCAGTTACAATTTAAAAAATCAAGGCCACAGTAACAAGAAAATCTGCTGAGTAATTTCAAAATACCTTACAAGCATTCCAATTTCATGGGCTGCTTGTTGATATTACCTGTTCTAAAAGAGAATTTATGTAAAGATCCATATGGATATTGATCTTTAAATGAGGAAGATAGCCAGATAAATTTAAAATAGCTTGCAAAACAATCTCTTGAGCTCTAAGTTGTTTATGAGTCATTTTGCAGTAAAAGTGAAGTCATTTATCATGACTCAGAATTGATGGTTTCTGAGGCCCGATGATGAGTAGAAACGCCCCATTCCTGATATAAAGGATGTTATTTTCACAGATACTCAAGGAAGCCTACTTTGGGGATGTCTAAATATTTAACTCTTACATTTCAAACAATTACAGCCACTGGATCAATGTGTCTTATTATTTGGGGAACATTTTGTAACTATTTTATCTTTCAGGACAACATGAGTATAGTTCCTAAAGGAGATGTCTCACAGCATTTCAGATTGAGAGGCAATAACTGGCATTGCAGCCTACACACACACACACACACACACACACACACACACACACACACACCAAACTTTGAAAATAAAACTGATGCTTATATCCTTTATATATTTTGCAAATCCTACTGTGAGTTTTCCTAGTGGTATCTGTGCATTTGTGAATTTATGTATTTGAGATTATTTTGCCAAAATGAAGATGGTGGAAATATGTGTGGGGTGTGTTTGTGTGTGTGTGTGTGTGTGTATGAAACTCGCATACAAACACAATTATGTCATAAATGCTGAGTGTGGCTGCTGAATTACAAGATTACTCTCATGTCTCAGCTAAGGAAGGGAGGTACAATATGGAAAAAAAAAAAAAAGACCTGCAGTAAAAAGCAGAAACGGGACATTAGTTTCTATAACTGCCCTTAATTTTTTAGATAATGGCCATTCATAAATAGATTCTGCATTTGTAGCTCCAAAATTATATTGCATGACACCCAGAAACACGAAGACATTTTTTGTATCTTTCTTGCAGGTTGGTGCTACCTAGTCAGCTGATTATTTTCACCAAGATCTTTGTTTAGTGTTAGGCTTGTTTCCTCCAAAGAACTTCTCAGAGGGCTGATATAGCTCATTGTTTTCTCTTTTCTTTCTGTAAACTGGACTTATTTTGGATGAAGCACTCTTGGTTTGTCACTTTTTGGCCTCTGAGTTTCCTTTGGCTTCACTTCCTTCTCACACAATATTACCATTTAATCAGAAAAGACATAACTGACAGATTTTACTTTTTAAAAAATATAAAAATAAATAAGGAGGGTTACTAGTAATTTCTCAAATGTGTCACCTTCTAGTAGCTTAAAAGTTTATCTGTCCATATGGCAAAATACTTTTCTACTTTTTCTCTGATGCTCTCTACTGCATCTTCACGACTTTGCCTTGAGTAGATTGACAGTAATGATTTCCCAGTTTCTACAAGTTAATTTTGTTGATATAGTCAACTCTTGAAGTCAAATTCTTAACAGTCTAAGTTAACACATGAGGATAGTGATCTTGCCACCATCATTTAAAAACCACTAAATCCTTGATGATGATTTTAAAAAATGGATACACAGAGAAAGAAATTGATTAGTAAGTAGAGATACAACAATAATTATAATAAACTTGAAGAGATATTAGTTAATTGATGGCTGGTGATTGAAATTATCAAAGGCTTTTTAACCCACATGTCTGGCACCTTGCTGGGATGCTATGAAGACTAAGACTGCCAACTGGAGCACCTCCATGTGGCTTGGTTTCTTCATAGTACAGGAGCCTCAGAGTACTCGAACTTCTTACACGGTGATTTAGGGCTCAAAATGCAAGTGTTCTGGTTAAAAAAAAAAAGAAGTTGCACTGACTTTTATGACTTAGCCATAGTAGTCACATAATGTCACCTGTGACACATTCCATTAGCCAAAGCATTGGTAAGTCAGTCCCAATTCAAAGGAGAGGAATCAAACTCCACCTTTTGATGGGGGAAGTCACAAGATAACATCACAGAAAATTATGTTTAAATAGGAGATGTTATTGCAACCATCTTTGGAAAATGCAATCTGCCATAGCTTCATTCTCACAGAGCTTAGAGCTACTGGAGAATTCATATATTATAAAATAGTCACATAAATGAGTGGATTAAATGTGATGAAGAAAAGGAATGTGGTTATAAAAGTATCAAAGAACAAAAGACGTGACCCAGAATGAGAATTTTGCAAAGTTTTCCTGAAGTATTAACTCCTGAACAATTGTCTAAAGGAAGAGTAGGAATTAACCAGGTGGGATATTTGGAGAATGGAATGGAGCAGTAAGAGCATTTTAAATGAAGATAACACATGCAAAGATCCTGTGGCAGAAGAGACCATGGCCTATACAAGAGCCGAAAGGAAGATGCAGGTGGCTACAGCACAACAAAGACAACGTGAGATGAAACGAATCTAGAGAAGGAGACAGGAAAAAAAAACTATATATATATATATAGCTTTGTAAGCTACGTAAAGGAGTTTGGTCTTTTCCCAAAGATGATCGCGATCCACTGGAATACTTTAATAAAGAAAGTAACAAGGTCAGAATTGGCTTTAAAAGGTAAATCTGCTTTAAATATGGAGAATTGATTGAAAGGGGGCAGAGATTCAGAGAAGAAGCAGACAGACCAGTTTGAAAACTCTTATAATCCAGGCAAGAGATGATATCAGCTTGGACTAGTTTTGTCACAGGATTAATGGAGAGATGTGAAATCACTCAAGGAATATTAGAGAGTCAAATTCACAGGATGTGAGAGTGAGGACAAATAGAGGTAAGGAAGTAGAAGGTGTCTAGGATAATGCCTAGTTTTAAGGATTGCACAACTGAAAGGATACTGATGCTACTTACTGTGATAAAGAACATAGCAAGATGCCATTTGGTTGTGGAAGATCAAGAATTTGGTCTTGGGCATGTTGAGTGTGATAGGGTTTTGGAACATTCAGTTGGAGATATTGAGTAGGCAATTGGATGCAGACAATTGGATGCTCACAAGAGGCATGTGATATGGAGATACACATTTAGAAGTTATCTGCATATAGAGGGTTACTAAAGTCATGGGCATGAAGGACATCAGACCCATCATTTGGTTGAAATGTGTTGGAAACCTGAAATTTTTGACTGCTCAAGACATGAAAGGAAATCTTTTCTCCTTTCTCTCCTGCCTAAATGTGACTTTTGAGGAAAACATGGAACTCCCTAGATTCAGCAGAGCCAAATTTGGAAGTCTAGACAAACTAAATCCGCTTGCTTCTTAGATGTACAAACAGATTTAGAGACAATAGTAGCTGAGGTGAAATTAGAACTTAGAACTCCTGACTGCTACTTTATCCAGTCACTGCTCAACATACCCAGAGTTACTGAAAGCTTATATGTTTTGTTTTCATTGTAGAAAAAGAGCTTAGTTACCTTGTCTATCTGAAAGTCTATAGAAAAAATTAAGCCTTCTCTGCAATCTTACTGAAATAACTTTCAAAACTATATTTATAAGATGAATCTAGAAAGGTATTTTTTAATACAATGATGCAGAATGATAATTGAACAAACTTCTCTTTAATTTTCAGAGATAAGAGACACTACAAGAAGCTATTCACTCATTTGGTAATATCAAGGACTTTCCTTGCCACTCATTCTCTGAATCTGAGACAGACATAAATACACTTATGAATGTTTTAATTTCAATTACACCTCAAACAATAATGCAAATCTGAGACATCTATGGATCCCAAGATTGTTTATTTTAGACAATCCTAACACTGCCTGAATACAATAGGCTTTCCATGCTGCAACTTCATCAATACTTATTTGAACCATTTTGTTGGAGGATGATGTTTTACCAAATGACTTTGCATCAATACAAAATAGATCATAGTTGAATCCATTACTGAGTTAGCTTCAGCCTTAAAACGTGTTGTGACAATGCACCAAAGAGTGAATTTTTTTGGTTGTTTTCTGAGATTGGTCTGAGGATCACTGGTGATCCATAAGGCAACTTATTGTCCTATAGTATGAATATTTTATAACTGAACAAGAACCATATTTTCCTTTTTTTAAAGAAAATCATGGGCCTCTTTAATGGAAAATCAAGTGCCAGCCACTACCACCCCCGGGCCCATGCACACGCAGGAAGGTCATGGTAAAATTGAAAATCAATGAGCAATTGATCTTAGGGGAAGCCATTGATTATCGCCAAAAGCCAAGGTGGCCATAAATTCAAATTTGCTCCTGTGAACCCCCGAAAATTTGAGACAGGTCCCAGTTAATTTAGAAAGTTTATTTTGCCAAAATTGAGGGCACGCTCATGACACAGCCTCAGGAAGTCCTGATGACATGTGCCCAAGGTGGTTGGGGCACAGCTTAGTTTTATACATTTTAGGGAGACATGAGACATCAATCAATATATGTAAGAAGTATGTTGGTTCGGTCTGGGAAGGTGGGACAACTTGAGGCAAAGGCAGGAAGACTCTAAGCAGGGAGGGAACTTCCAGGTTTTGAATTTCTGATTAGCCTTTCCAAAGGAGGCAAATCAGGTATGCACCTATCTCAGTGAGCAGAGGGGGTGAGTTTGAATAGAATGGGAGGCAGATTTCCCCTACACAGTTTGCAGCTTGAGTTTTCCTTGGTGATTTCGGGGGCCCAAGATATTTTCCTTTAACATTTCCCCCTTTTCTTTTTAAAAATCTTTTGGAGAAAGCATTTTACTAGAAAATGAGTCTGCTCTCAGGTTTTGTCTGATCTTTCCTGGCTATTTCTAGATGGGTTTATTTCTAGATGGGTAGGTCCCAAAAGCTCATTTTTAGCAGGTCGTAAAGTCTCGTGTCCTGTGAAGAGAAAATAGGGAAGAGGAAGGAAGAAAAACAACAACAAACAGAGGAACAATCCTGGAAAAATTGATCTAGGAAACATTACTCTGAAATCCATACAATATTAGGCAGGTACAAAAGTGGCTGATGTATGTAAACAGGTTGCTGTTATTTTCTTCTGAAGTTTAAATTGTCTGGATTCTGTTCACAGGATTTTAAGGAAGCACTGCTTAGTTTTCAGTGACTCCAAATTAGGAAAGCTGGGGAAAAAAAGAAGGGAAAAAAGACAAAAATTGAAAACATCGTTTTGAAGACTTGCCAACAAAAAATTAGAATTCAGCCCAAACTGTAGAAATAATGAAAATTTAAAATCATTAGGCAAGACTGGAATCTAACAACAGGTGTACAACATTTTTGAAACAATTTTTCTTTCTCCATTTTTCTATTTTAGTTAAAGACAAATCATGGTAGCATGGGTTTGCTTTATTATACTTGGCCTAATTGTTTGTATACAGTGCAGCAAGAATAATTATTTTTTACATAGGCTTTAAATTGGCTTTGATGAAACTTTGTTCCATAGAAGGAATCCCAGATAAAACTTTTTTAAAGCTGAGCCCAGCCATGGATTAGTGCCATCCAATATCTGTGAGTTGGGTGAATTTTCTCACCTCTTGAGGTTCAAGGATAAACCTAGGGCTTCTGCACCTGTCAGAAAGTGACATTTTTTACTTACTACAGGTCAGAAACCCTGTACAGGGACTGTCTACACAGAATATGAGGCCAGTTTTTCCAAGGGATTTATTGGCTCCATAAGTCAAATTTGATTCCTTAAAGGAAAGCACACCATTCCAGTCAAAGCTTTGGTAAAATAACCAATTTCTCCAATTGTGTCCTGTTACAAATGAAGACAGATTCTTATGGCACTTATGCAAATAACTGTAGTGCCATAAGTTAAGAATACTCATGAATAGTTTCCAATTCTGGAGAAATCAGGTAGAAAAAAAAATGCTCCAAATTTTGTTCATAGGAATATGCTAAATTGTTAAAAGCTGTCAATAGCTCAAAAGAAAAGTTTTAAGACTCTGAAAAACAAAACTAAGGATCAGCAAACATATTAAGTAAAAAGTCAAAAAGATTGTTTCAGTCCATGAAGTTAACTCCTGTTCACCTTGATACTCATGAGCATTTTAGCTCTCCATGAGTCCTGAAAATTTTTCCTCTATTCTGATGTCACAGTCTCCAAAGTTATCTCCAAAGTTATCAGAAACCTGCATTCAAGAGCAACTGCTGGAGTTTTATAGCTGATTATAAAACCGCCTTCTAAAGAGGACCAAAAGAAGACATAATTGTCCATGGATGAAAACAAAGTTTAAAGGCAGCCATGGTTAAAACACACGATTGACCAGGAAATGTGCTACCTCTGTGGCACACAATAATTTGAACATGACAATTATGATTATTACAAATAATGTACACTAAATTGCATCAGAATTACAGGAGTTTCTCATAATTTTGGAACAAATACAAATAACATATTTATAAATACAGCCTGAAGAAAACCAAACATCATTTCATATTTGGCAATGCTTCCTATATAATTTTTATACCAAATAAGCCAAATTATGTCATTTTTGTGCTTTAGGGGAACTAATATCTTAAAGGATTAGTTAGGTTAACAAAATACATAGTTTATAATTTGAATTTGAAAAGTTTGTCAAATATAAAAGGTTTAAAACACTTGATATTACAAAATAGGATTACAAGTAATTGTAAAGTCATTTATTTAACCAAAGTGATAATTCAAGGATCTCAAAAAGAAGTGACAAATGTTATTCTTTGACAGAGGAGACTTAATTTTCCAAACAATAAGCCCTAATAAGAACAGCATGAAGCCAATTAAATTTGTTTTTCAAAATTTTAGAAACAATCTATAAAATTTTAATCTTGATGGTAAAATACAGCTTCCATAAGCCTTTTCTAACCTTTATTAAGGAGTTGGTTAGTACTTCAACAAAACCTTCTTAATGTGACACAGGTGCCCATATGCTGGTCTTGCATCAGTGTGCCTTTGGCATTAATGATTGATTTATAGAGAAACTGAACGTATTTTATCTTTCAAAATTGGCCCTTACAATCTTACATGCCCACCTCTTCCTCAACAGTCCCTGGGCCTTGAGAAGTTGAAACAGCTTTAATCTTTTGCCCTGTGTCTCAGAAATTCAGTTTATTTTTATTGGCATCTTCTATGGGCCCTAAAGATGAGGCTGTACTTGCTGTCAGTGTTTAAGATTTAGTAGGACTTGGTATCCTTTTTAGATCCAGGAGTCAAAGGCTTGTAACCCAATGTCACAAGGACTTTAAAAGCATATACAGGAACATACATGGATGTAACAACCTTAATTAAAAAAAAAATTTTATCTCAGTTTTCTTTTCCTAAGCAAACCAAAACTTAATAATAATATTTGGACTTTCTGATTTGTCCTGAACATCCCTCCTTCTTAAATAACCAGTCATTTTATTTTAGGGCTAAAATTTATCATATTAAGATTCTTTCTCATACAAAATTATTTCTCTTTAAGCTTTCTTGCCACACACACACACACATACACACACACACACACACGCCTCTTTGTAACTTTCTTTACATCTCTTTTTATTTTCTGGTTCCTTTTACCTTGTTTTATACAGAACCTTTAAATAAGCTTTGAATTAGACAAAAACTTTTCACCTTTTTTTTAAAAGGACATGCTTTTTATTTTGCAAGAATTTTTTTTACAATATATATTTATTGGAAAATACTCAAATAATGAAATATCTATTATTTAATTTAACTTCATATTCTAAATTATGACCAGCTTTTCTACAAGTATTTATCCCATTACATTAACCTAATTATTTTTTTAATTGTTTACCTAGATTATTTATGAAAACTGTGATAGTCATGAATTTAAAGTTATGAAGCCACCATTGCAAAATTATAACTGAGACCGTGAAATAAGATTTGACTTAATGGACTCCATCTTGCTCTTAACCTCCAAGCTGTCTTTGTTCATTCCTGGGCATAGGCCAAACTAACTCTGGGAGGAACTTAGTTTATAGCTTAGCTTTGAAACAAAGATGTTAACAGTCCTTTCCCAAAAACAAACCTCCTTTTCCTGTGGACTAGACTGCCTAAAGCCACAGGATTAGAAGTTACGGCAATCTTACTAAATTCAAGATGCAGCTATTTTCATTAAACCCATATCAATGTCTTATTTATTAAAAATTACACAGGCAAAAATCATTCTGTTTTGGACTGGTTTTATAGTTTTGTAACCCCTATACAAAGTTTTGACCCCCTGTAGTGTTTGGTAGGGATAAGTATGAAATTGCCTTATTAATAAATGCAAAACAAAAAATGTATGCTGGCAATTCTTAAGACATTTCTAATATTACTTTACCAATAATTTTAAAACTAGCTTATTTATTAAAGATTTTCCTTAAGTGACATAAATTTGAAAAAGCATTTGACTAGTCTTTTCTTTTCTGGTATCTGATTTAAGTGCTTATATTTTTCCTTAAGCTAATTAATTAGAGCTCTGTTATGTATTTTTAGTAGTGAAACATTTTGTACACAACACATAAACACATATAAAGGTGTATTAGGCATGCCAATGGAGGTGCATTTTATAGACTTATAAAGAGCCCCCCCCCCCTTTTTTTTTCTATCTAGGCTTTCAAATTCTTGATAACCTGCTTCACAATCCTAGGCAGTTATCAGCTAAACAGCCTTGAATTTGCACATTAAAGGAAACAACTCAGGTGAAAATCAAATAGCAAAATTTACATCATAAGGTACAGAGAGTAAAAGTCTGGTGGTGCTAAAGGGTGACACTTTTATTTTTCTTTGAGCCAAATTGAACACAAAATTAAACTACGCTCTTTCTCAAAAACCCAAGAGTAGCCTCTGTTGCAATAACTATTTTAGTCAAAAAAAAAAAAACAAAAAACAGATGAAAACAGAATTCAGTCAACTGAGAAGAAAACAAAAACAAAAACAAACAAACAAACAAAAACTTCTGCTCAAAAACAAAGACAAGGTCTTAGGAGAAAAAAAAGAAAAAAACCCTAAAACATGAAGGCCTTTCAAATACAATCATGCACACATGCACACATACACACACACATCTTGGATGTTAGCCTTTTAATTAAGCTAACTTTGGCCTAACTCAGCTAACACTGAGCTCCTTAAAAAAAAAAAAAAAAAACTCTGATTACTGTGTTTCAGCTAGGACAAAATGCTGCTAAACTAACAATGATCACACAAGTTATAGGATTTCTGAGTGCTCTAAGTATAAGGAGAAATTCGCACCAGCTGGTTGTTAAATGCTAACTTTAGTCATTTAAAAGAAATTTGCAAGACAAAACCCCAAACCAGTTTCTTACCTAGTGATGGGTCTCAGGCTGTAGACTGCTCTCTAGCATCCTAGAAACAAGAAAAAAAAAAAAAAAAAAAGAACAGCAGAAACAAAACTCACCTTACCTGCCTTCCATTGTCATGGAAGCAGGAAAAAACTTGCCTTCCTTCAGTTGGAAGCAAGTAAAAATCCAAAAAAGAGGAGTTGTACAGCGAAATAAACTTTAGATCTCAACCACATTTTGGGAGATGAGGGATTCTCTGGAGGGGGTACTCCCAGACCTCAGCAAATTGTCCTATTGGTTTGAGCCATAAAGTTAGCTCATGCTGGTACCAAGCACTAATAGGAGATTTGCCAAAAGTCAGGGGCATCTCCATTCAGAATCTCTCCATGGTTATCAAAATGTGAACCCCGAAAATTTGGGACAGGTCTCAGTTAATTTAGAAAGTTTATTTTGCCAAGGTTGAGGATGTGCCCATGACACAGCTTCAGGAAGTCCTGACGACATGTGCCCAAAGTGGTTGGGGCACAGCTTAGTTTTATACATTTTAGAGAGACATGAGACATCAATCAATATATGTAAGAAGTACATTGGTTCTGTCTAGAAAGGCGGGACAACTTGAAGCAAAGGCAGGAAGACTGGAAGCAGGGAGAAGGCTTCCAGGTCACAGATAGGTGATACATTCTCTTGAGTTTCTGATTAGCCTTTCCAAAGGAGGCAAGTCAGATATTCATCTATCTCAGTGAGCAGAGGGGTGACTTTGAATAGAATGGGAGGCAGGTTTTCCCTAAGCAGTTTGCAGCTTGAGTTTCCCTTAGTGATTTTGGGGGCCCAAGATATTTTTCTTTCACACTCCAAATAGTCCTGGTTTATACAAATAGTCCTAGTTTATTAATAGTGCCTCTTTCACTCTCATATGTGCCCTGGATTAGATGATGTCTAACTATGCATTACTAATCTATTGTAATTAACTCTGCTCAAAGTTTGGGTATATTAGATTTTTACTCTCCACCATTTGAACTGGAAAATGAAATTAGACTTCTATGATTAACAGTGAAGGCTAAAACTGAAAATTCATGAAGTAGAGAGGAGTGGGAGGGTCATGTTAAGCCATGAGTTAGTCAATATTATTAGCAATTCAAATTTATTAATAAGTAGGGGCTCCAAACTTGAGAAAAGATCTGCGGAACATAGGGTGAGGAATTAGGATGGAGGAGAGAGGAGAAGAAAAAATCAACATGTTTTATGTAACAGTGGAACCTTATAGCAAATACTCATGAAATCCCATTGCCAGACTCATTTGCCATGAGACTGAGTTTCATTCCATTGTGCCAGTTATTGGATTCCTATGAGACTATTTCTCCCTTACAGGTTACCCTTGTTCTGTTTCCCCCAGAAGCAGACCTTAAGACAAGGGATTGAGTACTATTAGTTTACTTGGGAGATGATCCCAGAAAGCACTGGTAGAGGAGTGGAGCACTGAGACAAAGAAAGGAGGGAAGCCAATACAAGTGTGTTGTTGAGCATATCATTGCTCTAGCGCTAAATCATACTGGGGATTCTTTTGGAGACAGGGTAAACGTTGACTTAGGGTCATCCACCCAAGGAGATAGAAAGCTGAGATATTTACCCACCATATCCAACTATCATCGGTGGAGGACTGTTTCCAGGAAAGTTAACTCCTTGGCACTTCCAGCCTGACCCTTATATGGGCTGGGCATTCTCCTGAGGCCAGATGAAATTCTCAAGCAGAAAGTTCCATGCGCTTTAAGTAAGACACCATTAAACAGAAACACTGAATACCAAAAAGATGTGGATAGGCACTGACAGAACCTGCTATACTGATCATGTTTCAGTAGTCTGAATATATTTCTCTTTATTGCTATAGAAATTGCCTAAGACAGTTCCCAATCACTCATTTATTTGATTCTTACATTTCCAAAATACTGACTGAGCAGCATCTGTCATACTATTTGATTTTATGAGTTTAATTGGGATAATGGAAATAAATAGGACAGTTCACTTTAGTGGGGTTATTTGGCCTACAATAGGGGCCTCTGACTTTATAGAGTATATGAGAAAAACTTTCATTAGTGTGAACCACAATGATATTAAAATTTTCTTAAGATGCATATCTCTTTCTGTTCAGTGCTAATGAGAGTCATTGGCAAAGATTGAGCATATTACAGAGCCATGGAGTTTAAAAAGCCCTTAGAAGTTACCTAATATGGCTTCTTCATAGTGTAAACATTTGCTCTACATCAAGAGATGGACATCCAGTTTGGGCTTTAAGTAGCTAAAAATATTTTAGCAGAGTATTCTCTTCTGAGCAGGAGTAAGTTGAAACTCATTTATAGTGACATACTTTGGCTAGAAATGAGATTTATGAAACTCCCAGTCAAGCTATTAAAATACATTAACATATTCATCCAATTTTAATCATTTTCCCCCAACACAGTTAATTATTCTTTAAATTAAAAAAATGACATCAGTGTGGACATAAATGAGAAAAGCAGCCACTCACCTTCTGAAGTAGGATGATTGGAGTCTTTATTATTAAAATAATATAAGTTTATTATGGAATAATTAACCATTTAAACTCAAACCACTGTTTAGAATTAATTTTGCTACATGATGAGCTAAGAGACACAATCATTTAAAATAATCAAAGCTATTTTACAAATAGAACACAATGAAATACACTTGCAGTAGATTTTTATAAGCTGAAGCAGTTCCAGTGGGTGATTAACATTTTCTAATAAACAAATTTTTTAAACCTCATTTGTTGAGTCTTCTTCCTGCAGGTGTTCTCTGAAAATATACTTATATCTTTTAATTGTGGTAAAATGTACATTACATAAAAGTTAGCATTTTAACCATTTTTAAGCATACAGTTCAGTGGCATTAAGAATAATCACTGCAAATATCACCACCATTCAGCTTCAGAACTTCTTTAATCTTTCAAAACTGAAATTCTGTACCTATTAAACAATAATTTCCTAATTCCCCCTCCTTCCCCAGCTTCTGCAAACCACCATACTACTTTCTTCTTTATGAATTTGACTATTCTAGTGATATGGTTTGGCTGTGCCCCCACCAAAATCTCACCTTGAATTGTAGTTCTAATAATCCCCATGTGTCATGGAGGGGACCCAGTGGGAGATAATTGAATCTTGGGGCTGGTTATCCCCATGCAGTTCTCGTGATAGTGGGTGAATTCTCACAACATCTGATAGATTTATAAGGTGCTTTTCCCCCTTTGCTTGTCACTTCTCTTTCTGCCACCATGTGAAGAAAGATGTGTTTGCTTCCCCTTCCACCATGACTGTAAGTTTCCTGAGGCCTCCCCAGCCCTGTGGAACTGTGAGTCAATTAAGCCTCATTCCTTTATAAATTACCCAGTCTTGGGAAGTTCTTTATAGCAGCATGAAAATGGACTAATACAGTAAATTTGTACCATGCAGCATGGGATGCTGCTGTAAAGTTACCTGAAAATGTGGAAGCAACTCTGGAACTGGGTAACAGGCAGAGGTTGGAATAATTTGGAGGGTTCAGAAGAAGACAGGAAAATGTGGAAAATTTTGGATCTTCGTAGAGACTTGTTGAATGGCTTTGACCAAAATGCTGATAGTGATATGGACAGAGAAGTCCAGGCTGAGGTGATCTCAGATGGAGATGAAGAAGTTCTTGGGAACTGGAGCAAAGGTCACTCTTGTTATGCTTTAACAAAGAGACTGGTGGCATTTTGCCCTTTCCCTAGGGATATGTAGAACTTTGAACTTGAGAGAGATGATTTAGGATATCTGGCGGAAGAAATTTCTAAGCAGCAAAGCATTCAAGAGAAAGCAGAGCATAAAAGTTTGGAAAATTTGCAGCTTAATGATGTGATAGAAAAGAAAAACCCATTTTCTGGAGGGAAATTCAAGCCTGCCACAGAAATTTGCATAAGTAACAAGAAGCCAAATGTTAGTCACCAAGACGATGGGGAAAATGTCTCCAGAGCATGTTAGGGACCTTTGTGGGCAACCTCTCCCATCACAGACCTGGAAGCCTAAGAGGGAAAAATGGTTTCATGGGCCAGGCCCAGGACCTTGTTACTTTGTGCAGTCTCAGGACTTGGTGCCCTGCATCCCAGCCATGGCTAAAAGGGGCCAACATACAACTCGGGCCATTGTTTCAGAGTGTGAAAGCCCCAAGCCTTGGTGGCTTACATGTGGTGTTGAGTCTGTGGGTGCACAGAAGTCAAAAGTTGCGGTTAGGAACCTCTGCCTAGATTTCAGAGGATGTACGGAAACACCTCGATGTCCAGGCAGAAGTCTGTTGCAGGGGCAGAGCCCTCATGGAGAACCTCTGCTAGGGCAGTGCAGAAGGGAAATGTGGGATTGGAACCCCCACACAGAGTCCCCACAGGGGCAATGCCTAGTGGAGCTGTGAGAAGAGGGCCATCATCCTCCAGACCCCAGAATGGTAAATCCACTGACAGCTTGCACTGTGCACCTGGAAAAGCCACAGACACTCAACACCAGCCATGAAAGCAGCTAGGAGGGGGGATGTACCCTGCAAAGCCACAGGGACAGGGCTGCCCAAGACTGTGGGAGCCCACCTCTTGCATCAGCGTGACCTGCATGTGAGGCACAGAGTCAAAGGAGATCATTTTGGAACTTTAAGTTTTAATCACTGCCCTATTGGATTTCAGACTTGCATGGGGCCTGTAGCCCCTTTGTTCTGACCAATTTCTCCCATTTGGAATGGGCGTATTTATGCAATGGCTGTACCCCCATTGTATCTAGGAAGTAACTAACTTGCTTTTGATTTTACAGGCTCATAGGTGGAAGGGAATTACCTTGTCTCAGATGAGACTTTAGACTTGGACTTTTGGGTTAATACTGGAAGGAGTTAAGACTTTGGAGGACTGTTGGAAGGGCATAATTGTCTTTTGAAATATGAGCACATGAGATTTGGGAGGGGCCAGGGGTGGAATGATATGATTTGGCTGTGTCCCCACCCAACTCTCATCTTGAATTGTAGTTCCCATAATCCTCATGGGTTGTGGGAGGGACTGAGTGGGAGAAAATTGAATCATGGGGGCAGTTACCCCCATGCTGTTCCCATGATAATGAGTGAGTTCTCACAATATCTGATGGTTTTATAAGATGCTTTTCCCCCTTTGCTCAGCACTTCTCCTTCCTGCCACCACGTGAAGAAGGACATGTTTGCTTCCTCTTCCACCATGATTGTAAGTTTCCTGAGGCCACCAAGTCCTGCAGAACTGTGAGTCAAACTTCTTTTTTTATAAATTACCCTGCTTCGGGTAGTTCCTTATAGCAGCATGAAAATGGACTAATACATCTAGATGCCTCATATAAGTTAAATCATATAGTATTTGTCCTTTTGTGACTGGCTTATTTGAAAATGTGCTTCTTAACTCTTCCTTCCAAATTCACTAAAATTGATGCATGATATCAGGTGCTGCCACTTTCCTCTGAACTCAAGCTCTGGTGAAAATGCATGTATACCCAATACATAGTCAGCTCACTGATGGTTAGGAAAGAACAACACACATCTCATCCTCTGCCAAAAAAAAATTATTTCATTGTCCTTGCAGGAAGATTCACAGAAGGCCCATCCAGGTGCTTTATATAAAAATAACAGTTCCCTCCAGCTACCTAACCCAGATTTTAAGTTATGTAAAATGAGTTACTTAGAAGGAAAATTCTAAATAAACACATGGTAGCATTGTGGCAATGGAGTTAGCCTGATTTTTTTCAGGGGTACATCCATCCATTCCTCAAAAGATCAGGAGCAAATTTTGATTGGTCTCTGCAAATCTCTGTCATCTCATTCCCTTTCCAGTGATTGGTTTGGAGGAAAATGTAAGCCCCAGTTACATCCAGTGACTAAGGGGAAGTTAGCAAAACAGCTTCTAAGAAAGGATGTCTTGCTCTTCACAAAGGTTCACATGGAAAATATCAGTCCTTTTCTTTTTCAGGAGATTTTTACACCTATCTGTGATGCTATCTTGTGACCATGAGGAGTGCTAAGCTGAATCACAAATCCACCATGCTGAGGACAGCACAACAAAGACTTGGGGACTTAATGGTTTCAACCAGTCACTGGGTTAACAAACCCTGGAACAATCCCACCTCAAAACTTCAGGTAATATGCGATTACAATTTTTTTTATTGTTTAACCCAGTTGATATGGAGTTATCTGTTACTTGAAGACACTTAACTGATTGCATGATGTCACTTAACTGATTGCATGTAGGTTCCATGATGTCACAGGGTGATTTTCCTGGGAAGCAAATGCTGAGATGGAGTTTAGGTCACAGGATGATTCTTAAGGAGAGTCTTATGGGAGGGAGGAGAAGAAAGCAGAACTAGGCAGAAGAAATGAAGCTGTGAGGTAAGCAATGACACATGGGCTACTTCATGGAAAGATCCAAGATGGGCCAAGATAATCAGGCCTTTTTACCCTCATCTCCATTAGTCATTGGAATGCATCCGCTTGGGAAGGATATGACCTCAGGCAACTAACGCAATCTTTGCAATGATATTTGAAAATTATCTGCACCAATAGTACTCTCAGCAACTTGTGCAAGAAGTTCTTCACCAAAGAGGTATCTGGATGGTGCATGAGCGTGTCTACCACACATGATTACAGGAACCATTCAAAGAACAGACACCTACCCCAGACCCAGAAAAAATATATGTCCCTAAGACTCACAAGAGCTGCTTAACTTTTGGTAAGCTCTGGCTTATGCTAGTGATAGCAGTCACATGTTTTTGCTATACTTGCCTTAATTTAACTTCATTTTGCTTGGAGGTCAAAGGCTACTAATTGAATTGTCTGTAAATACCTATATATTACAACTAAGCTATTGTTCATTTGGGTTTAAGCCAATCAAATTTGTTTGGTGTTTACTGAATGACTAGCTAACCTTCCTTGACTTCCTTGCCAACCAGTCCCCTCTTATAACTCCTCCCTTAGCTTCTTATACACTACTCAATCTTTTGTCTGAGTTCCTCTGTCATCTGTTTCTCCGCTTAATCTTTAACCACAGGTGCTGTCTGAGGCACCATTCTCAGCACCAACTTGATTCTGTCATCAGTGTTTCACTTATTGAGCATGACCTGTCATGGTTTCTGCTCTCCTCCAAGCCTACAGAATTCTCAGGTGATTTCTAGCTCTAGCCTTTAAACCAATCATCAGCCCTGTATCTTCGGGAACCTCCCAGACATATTTATACTTTCAACTTCATGTGGTATAGAAATAATTCATTATCATTCTCCATAAAACAAACTCATTTTCCCAACTTTATAGTTCTCTTGGGTCAAATATTTATCAGTCACCATCATTCAAAATCTTGAATTCACATTTCAATGCCAGATATTAAAGACAGGGGAGAGTTAGTCATTTACCTAATTTGACTGCTTAATCTTTAAAATCTCTTTACTCTTGTTTTTTGCTCTCTTTTTCTCAGTACTTCCTCTTATTTTGATAATATTTTAAATATACTTCTGTGATCATAATTAGCATACTACATTCTAATTGCTATATGTATTTTCAACGTTTTTCAACATTTTTCCTGTACTAGACTGAAAGTTCATTGAAAGCAGGAACTACATCATTCTTCTTTGGATTCCCAATGTTTAGAACACACTTATACTATATGGTGGATGCTTAATAAGTGGTTTTGGAACAATGACTAATCCTAGCCCAATGCTTTGTCACTTCCGCATTGCATCAGTGGCCTCTTTGTGGTCTCTGTAGGTATTTTTGGTGTCCCACATCATATTTCATCCAGATCAGACTACTGCCAACAGCATCCCACTTCAGGTACTTTGAGCTGCTCCAAGCCTTCCCACCTCTGGGCTTTCTCTGAAGTTTTTTAAAACTGCTCGTCTCAAGGAAGTACTTGAGAAAACTGCACATCTCAAGCCCAGATGTGTGGGGTTATTAACAAGTCTATATAGGAAGAAAAAATCATTCCCTTTACCCTCTTATGTTCAGTACAAAGGGCACTGCAAAATAAACTGACAAAAGACAGATTAACAGGAAAAAAGACACAAAAATTTTATGTATTTTTTCCAACTTTTATTTTAGATTCAGGGGGTACATGTATAGGTGTGTTACATGGGTAAAATGTGTATTACCATGGGTAAAATGTGTATAATTGGTACAGAAATTATTTCATCACCCAAGTAGTGAGCATAGTACTTTACAGGTAGTTTTTCATTCCTCACCCTCCACACACCTTCCACCCTCAGGTAAGCCCAAGTGTATATTGTTCCCTTCATTGTGTCCATGAGTAATCAATGTTTAGCTCCCACTTATAAGTGAAAACATGCAGTATTTGGTTTTCTATTCTTCAATTAATTTGCTTAGGATAATGGCCCATAGCTTCATCCATACTGCTGCAAAAGACATAATCTCATTCATTTTTATGGCTGCATCGTAATCTATGGTATATAAGTACCACCTTTTCTTTATCCAGTCCTCTGTTGATGGACATCTAGGTTGATGCCATGTCTTTGCTATTGTGAATAGTGCTGCAATGAATATACACATGCATGTGTCTTTATGGTAGGATGATTTATACTCCTTTGGGTATATACCCAGTAGTGGGATTCCTGGGTCAAATGGTAGTTCTATTTTATTTTATTTTATTTTATTTTTTTGAGACAGGTCTCATTCTGTCACCCAGGCTGGAGTGCAGTGGCATGATCTCAGCTCATTGCAACCTCTGCCTCCCAGACTCAAGCGATTCTCCTGCCTGAGCCTCCTGAGTAGCTGGGATTACAGGCATGCACCACCACACCTGGCTAATTTTTGTATTTTCAGTAGAGACAGGGTTTCGCCATGTTGGCCAGGCTGGTCTCGAACTCCTGATCTCAAGTGATCTGCCCACCTCGGCTTCCCAAAGGGCTGGGATTACAGGCGTGAGCCACCACGCCTACGCCCGGCCAGTAATTCTAAGTTCTTCAAGAACTCTCCAGACTACTTTGCACAGTGGCTGAACTAATTTGCATTGCAACCAGCAGTGTATCAGGGTTCCCTTTTCTCTGCAACATTGCCAGCATTTGTTAATTTTTGACTTTTTAGTAATAGCCATTCTGACTGGTGTAAGATGGTATCTCATTGTGATTTTGATTTGCATTTCTCTAATGATTAGTGATGTTAAGCATTTTTCATATGCTTATTGGCTGTGTGTATGTCTTCTTTTGAAAAGCATCTGTTCATGTCCTTTGCCCATTTTTTAATGGTTGTTTGTTTTGGGCTTGTTGATTTGTTTCAGTTCCTTATAGATTCTGGATATTAGACCTTTTTCAGATGCATAGTTTGCAAGTATTTTCTCCCATTCTGTATGTTGTCTGTTTATTCTGCTGATAGTTGCTTTGCTGTGCAGAAGCTCTTTAGTTTAATTAAGTCCCACTTGTGGATTTTTGTTTTTGTTGCAATTGCTTTTGGAGCCTTCATCATGAAATCTTTGCCGGGGCCTATGTCAAAAATAGCATTTCCTAGATTTTCTTCTGTGATTTTTATGGTTTTAGGTTGTACATTTAAGTTTTAATTCATCATGAGTTGATTTTTATATATATGAAAAGGGTCCAGTTTCAGTCTTCTGCATATGGCTAGCCAGCTATCCTAGTGCTATTTATTGAATAGGGAGTATTTTCTCCATTACTTGTTATTGTCGACTTTGCTGAATATTGGAATGTTGTAGGTGTGCGGCTTTATTTCTGGGTTCTCTATTCTGTTCCATTGGTCTATGTGTCTGTTTTTGTACCAGTACCATGCTGTTCTGGTTACCAAGGCCTTGTAGTATAGTTTGAAGTTGGGTAGTGTAATGCCTCCAGCTTTGTTGTTTCTGCTTAGGATTGCTTTGGACATTAGGGCTCATTTTTTACTCCATATGAAATTTACAATAGCTTTTTCTAATTCTGTGAAAAACGACATTGATAGTTTGATATGATTAACAATAAATCTGTAAACTGCTTTGGGCAGTATGGCCATTTTAACAATATTGATTCTTCCTATCCACGAGCATGAAATGTTTTTTCCATTCATTTGTGTTGTCTCCAATTTCTTTCAGCAGTGTTTTGTCGCTAATTTCTTTCAGCAGTGTTTTGTAATTCTCGTTATTGAGATCTTTCACTTCCCTGATTAGCTGTATTCCTAGGTATTTTATTCTTTTTGTGGCTATTGTGAATGGGATTGCTTTCTTGATTTGGCCCTCAGCTTGGACGTTATTGGTGTATAGAAATGCTACTGATTTTTGTACATTGGTTTTTCTGTCCTGAAACTTTGCTGAAGTTGTTTATCAGATCTAGGAGCTTTTGGGCAGAGACAATGGGGTTTTCTACATATAGAATCAAATTGTCTGTGAAGAGAGATAGCTTGACTTTCTCTCTTCCTATTTGGATACACTTTTTTTTTTTTATTTTTCTTGCCTGCTTGCTGTGGCTAGGCAGAACTATGTTCAATAGCAGTGGTGACAGTAGGCATCCTTGTCTTGTTCCGGTTCTCAAGGGGAATGTTTCCAGCTTTTATATACCTGTTCAGTATGATGGCTGTGAGTTTGTCATAGATGGCTTATATTAATTTGAGCTGTGTTCCACTGATGTCTAGTCTATTGATAGTTTTGGATGTTGAATCTTATTGAAAGCCTTTTCTGCATCTGTTGAGATGATCATGTGGCTTCTATTTTTAGTTCTATTTATTTGATGAATCACATTATTGATTTGCATATGTTGAACCAACTTTGCATCCCAGGAATAAAGTCTACTTGATCATGGTGGACTAGCTTTTTTGATGTGCTGCTGGATTCAGTTTGTTAATATTTTTGTTAAGGACTTTTTTATCTACATTCATTAGGGATATTACCCTGAAGCTTTCTTTTTTGATTGTGTCTCTGCCAGGTTTTGTTATTGGAATGATGCTGGCCTCATAAAATGAGTTAGCAAGGAGTCCCTCCTCCTTGATGTTTTGGAATAGCTTCAGTAGGATTCATACCAACTCTTATTTATGCATCTGGTAGAATTCAGCTGTGAATCCATCTGGTCCAGGACTTTTTCTGGTTGGTAAGTTTTTTATTGCTGATTCAACTTCAGAACTTGTTATTGGTCTGTTTAGGGTTTCACTTTCTTTGTCATTCAGTCTTGGGAGGTTGTATGTTTCCAGGAATTTATCCATTTATTCTGGGTTTTCTTGTTTGTGTGCATAGAGGTAGAGGTGTTTGTAGTGGTCTCTGGGTTTTTTTTTTTTTTCCTATGGGGTTGGTGGTAATGTCCCTTTTGTCGTTTCTGATTGTATTTATTTGAATCTTCTTTTTTTCTTTATTAGTCTAGATAACAGTCTATCAATGTTATTTATTATTTTAAAGAAACAACTTTTTATTTTGTTGATCTTTCATATGGTTTTTCACATCTCAATTTTGTTCAATTCTGCTCTGGTTTTGGTTATTTCTTTTAATCTGCTATCTTTGGGGTTGGTGTGCTCTTGTTTTTCTAGTTCCTCTAGATGTGATGTGAGGTTATTAATTTGAGATCCTTCTAAATTTCGATGTGAGCATTTAGCAGTTATAAACTTTCCTCTTAACACTCCTTTAGCTGTGGCCCAGAGATTCTGGCATATTGTATCTTTGTTCTCATTAGTTTCAAAGAATTTCTTGATTTCTCCCTTAATTTCATTATTTACCCAAAAGTCATTTGGGAGCAGATTGTTTAATTTTCTTGTAATTATATGATTTTGAGAGATCTTCTTAGTATTGATTTCTATTTTAACTGCATTGTGGTGCAAGAGTGTGGTTGGTATAATTTTGGTTTTTTTGGAATTTGTTGAGAATCGCTTTTAGAATATGTTCCATGTGCAGATGAGAAGAATGTATATTCTGTTGTTGTTAGATGGAGTGTCCTGTAGATGCCTGTTAGGGCCATTTTGTCAAGTGTTGAGCTTAGGTCCCAAGTATCTTTGTTAGTTTTCTGCCTCAGTGATCTGGGCAATACCATCAGTGATACACTGAAGTATCCCATTATTACTATGTGGTTATCTTAGTCTCTTCATAGGTCTCTAAGAACTTTTTTAATGAATTTGGGTGCCCCAATGTTGGATGCATATATATTTAAAATAGTTAAGTGTTCTTGTTGAATTGAATTCTTTATCATAATGTAATGCCCTTCTTTGTCCTTTTTGATTGTTGTTGCTTTAAAGTCTGTTTTGTCTGAATTAAGAATAGAACCCCCTGCTCTTTTTTGTTTTCAGTTTGCTTAATAGATCTTTCTCCATCCCTTTACTTTAAGCCTATAGGTGTCATTGCATGTCAGACAAATCTCTTAACGATAGCATACAGTTGGGTCTTGCTTCTATATCAACTTGCCACTTTTTAAGTGGGGCATTTAGCCCTTTTATGTTCAAGGTTAATATTGATATGTGCAAATTTAATCCTTTCATAGTGTTGCTAGCTTGTTGTTATGCAGACTTGATTGTGCTGCTCCTTTATAGCTTCAATGGTTTATGTATAATACTAAAGTGTATTTTCGTGGTGACTGGTAACAGTCTTTTTTCTCCATGTTTAGCACTCTCTTAAAGACCTATTTTAAGGCAGATCTCGTGGTAATGAATTCCCTTAGCATTTGCTTGTTTGAAAAGGATTTTATTTATCCTTTGCTTACAAAGCTTATTTTGACTGGATATGAAATTATTGGTTGGAATTTCTCTTTTTTAAGAATGCCGAATATAGTACCCCAATTTCCTGTGGCTTGTAGGGTTTCTGCTGAAAGGTCTGCTATTAGTCTCATGGGATTCCCTTTGTAGGTGACCTACCCAATCATTCTCGGTGCCTTTAATATTTTTTTCTGCCATGTTAACCTTAGAGAATCTGATGACTATGTGTCTTTGGAATGGTAATCTTGTGTAGTGTCTCACAGAGGTTCTCTGAATTTCTTGAATTTGAAAGTTGACCTCTCTAGCAAGGCTGGAGAAATTTTCAAGAACAATATCCTCAAATATATTTTTCATACTGCTTGCTCACTATCTCTCTCTCTCTCTCTTTCTTTCAGGGTTGCCAGTGAGTCATAGATTAATCTCTTTACATAATCCCATATTTCTCAGAGGTTTTTTTTCGTTGTTTTCTATTATTTTTTATTTATTTTTGTCTGACTGAGTTGATTCAAGGAACCAATCTTTGAGCTCTGAGATTCTTTCCTCGGCTTGGTCTATTCTGCTGTTAATACTTCTGATTGTATTATGAAATTTCTGTAGTGAGATTTTCAGCTCTGTCAGATCAGTTTGTTTCTTTATAAAATGGCTGTTTCATTTTTCAGCTCTTGAATTGCTTTACTGGATTTCTTTGATTCTTTGATTGGATTTCCACTTTCTCTTAAATCTCGATGATCTGGATCCAGGTTCTGAATTCTATGTTTGTAATTTTAAACACTTTGGTCTGGTTAAGAACCATTGCTTGGAAGGTAGTGCAGTTGTTTGGAGGTAAGACGACACTCTGGCTTTTAGAGATGCCAGAGTTCCTGCACTGTTTCTTTCTCAACTGTGTGGGCTGATGTTCCTTTAATCTTTAAAGTTGTTGTTCTTTAGATGGAGCTTTTTGCTTTTATATTCTTTGATGCCCTTTAGGGTGTGACTGTGATACAAGTTGACTTTGGTTGACTGGCTTTATTTCTGGATAATTTCAGGGACTAAGGCTCATGTCAGCACTCTTAGGCTGCATACTTTAATCCTGGAGGGCTAGGACCAGGCCCATGTCTTTGTTTCTGGTCTCTTGAGGTTAAACATTTGCTGCACTGGTGGGTCCATTGTGTTCCTGGTCCACTAGCAACAACACTCCACTGGGAGGTACCAGAAAAAGTTCTTCATCAGAGTCGTGGCAGCAGGGTCTGTGTTAATGCATGTGCATCAGCAGCAGCAGGGCAGCAACGTGTCGGGGTCTGTGGGCACATATGCACCAGCAGCAGCAGGGCAACATGGTCTGCACATGTGCATGAGGCAGCAGCAGTACAGTGGTGCAGCCGGGTTTATGTATTGTGTGCCAGCAGGGACAAGATAGTGGTGGTGAGGTCCACATGTGCACATGCACCAACGGTGTCAGTACAGTGAAGTCCACACATGTACGCACACTGGCAAAGTGGTAAGGATAGGTTGCAGGTGAGTGCATGCCAGTAAAGTGGTGAGGGAGGCCTCAGGCAAGTGTGCACTGTTAGGACTCATCTTCGAAAGCTCTCTGACAGGTGGGGTCTGTCAGCAAAAGAGCTATGGCAATGGCCTCTGGGAAACACTCTAATTTGGCATCTGAAGCTGTGCTGCAAGTGGGTGAAATGAGGCAGGGGCCCTGGTAGAGGCCATCAGACAGGGCAGTGCTCAGATCAGACTGGCCCTGTCTCACGGGCAAGAAAGCCCTGTTCTGTCAAAGTCTGACAGTCAACAAAGGACAAAGTCACCTGGAGGATCATGGCAAGACTAGAGGGATGGGCATCCCTGGATGTGTTCCAGCCATTCTCAAACCAAACCCTGTGGATTCTGTGGAGGCTGGAGTCCTGTCCCTGACATCTCTCCGAGCAGCTCTTCCTGCTGACTCAAATGTTCATGGTGTCATGGGGTTTCCTGCAGCTAGGATTCTGATGGAGCATGGCAAGAGTGGGCCACTCCATGCCTATTTAACTCACTCCTTCCCCAGGAGTCGCTTGGGACCAGGATTGAGTCCTGGTGCTCAGCAACCCCATACAGGGTTCTCAGCTTCCTCACCCTTCAGTCCAGGGTCCACATCCACCTTCTGTCCTGTCTCAATGCATTCCTTCCTAAAATCTGCTTGGAGTGTGTCAATTTTCTTTATGGTCTTGTATCTCAATGGAAGAAGTTATTCTTGGCTGCATCTAGTTGGCCACCCTATCTCCATCAGCTGCTTCTAGAACACTGTTAAGGAATCTCACTTGCAGCCTCTGCAGGCTGCATCCAAAGACTCAGGGCCAGTTAGAACAAGCTGGAAGCCAGGCTGACTCTACACAGTTTTATTCTTCTCTGGCTCCTGCAGTTCCTTCGGCACTCACACAAAATCCCTGACTGGCTCTGACCAATTGACATAATCTTGACGCTTTATAAGGAGAGAGCTAGAGCTGGAGAGGGACAGTGTGGGTATCCCAATTGTGCTGGTCAGCTTGGATGAAGAGAAAAAAGCTTTTTAAGAGTAGAAGAAATTAAAAAAAGCTATTCTTTTCTTCCACGTCCCCTACCCAAAGCTAGTCTCTCAGGAACACTTTTCCCTTCTGTCCAGACTTGCAAACTTTTCCTCACTCAAGTCCTAAAGATCTACTTTCCTCCCACAAATTTTATTTGATGTTAATATTTTTACATGGCATAGGAGTCTCACAGAAAGGGAAGTGAAAACCACAAAGAGGCAGTCAGACCCAGGGGATTCTAAACCATTTTAACAAAGGGCAATAAATTTGTGAATCAGTGACAAAAGAAAATGATTGTATGCATCTAGGCCTGGTAAACTGTGGGAAGTTAAATATATGGGGGAAACTAATGGAAGATAAGAATTGTTTAGTAAGTTTTGTTATGCAGATTCCTCTCCTCTTGGTGTTGTTTCTGGGTTGGTTAGAGTCTAGAGTTGACTTGGTGATTAACAGTCTTTCTGCCCTTCCTGGTAGGAGAGAACGGAGGGGGAACACCTTCAGAAGGGAAATTTATTCCCTGCTTTAAGGTACATAGGTTGGGGGAGTAGAGAGTGCTTTTCTGAATCTGCTGTTTTATATTTGCCTTCAGCTAAAGAAAAAAAAAAAAAACTCTTATGTCAAAGTGGCATACTTGGAAGTGGCATATTTCGATCCCCTTCACCTCTCAAATGAAAATCTTAACCAGTGGAAGGCTGGGAGCTGAAGAACAAAAGCCCTAGTCCCCCTCCTAGGAGGCATTGTATAGGCTTTTTTAGTAAAACCAGTGGAATCCTGCCCCAACTGCCTACAGCAAAGACCTACACAATGCACCCTTATAATGGCTTTCACTTTCCTCCTTTGCTTATAAAGTTTCCCGGCCTCATGTCTTGTATAAATTACCGCCTTTGAATTCTTTCTTAGGCTCTGCTTTTAGGGGAACCCAAACTGGGACAATTTTCTTACTTCCACTCCTTCCCTACCCCAATACTCCTAGAATAGTGACTGCTGAATTGCTCTGAATTATTGCTTTTAAACATCACTTGCGACCCTTCACAGAACTCCCCTGCTATGGTCTGGCTGTGTCCTCCCCAAATTCACATATTAAAACTTAATAACCAATGTGATAGGTGATGATTAAATCATAAAGGCAGAGGATTAGCATTCTTATAAAAGAGGTGCAATGCAGCTATTTGCCCCTTTTGCCATGTGAAGACACAGCAAGAGATGCCATCTTGGAATCAGAAACAAGACCCTCACCAGACACTGAACCTGCTGGTCCCTTGATCTTGGACTTCCCAGCCTCCAGAACTGTGAGCAATAAATGTATGCTGTTTATAAATTACCCAGTCTAAGGTATTCTGTTATAGCAGCATTAACAACATTAAGATATTATCTAATTATTAGGGCTTTAGATTTAGTGAATAAAAATAGAAGATACCCATGTAAGTTTGAATTTCAGATAAACAACAAATAATTTATTGCTATAAGTACATTCCAAGTAATATTTGGAATATATTTGTACTAATAAATTATCTTTTGTTTATCTGAAATTCAAATTTAACTGAGTATTCTGTATTTTATTTAGCAATCCTGCCAATTGCTCGCTTATTTTCAAAAAGCCATCTAAATTCATATCTCATCATTTACACGTTTCTATGATATGAACCTCATTCTATCAATATAACCTCTTCCACTTCTTCCAAATGCAAGCTCTTCTTTCCAACTAGAATTTGAGAGTAAGAGAGAATTAATCATCGTCATTATCATCATCGCCATTATCATAATTCCTTTGATCTTCTGAAGCATTTAACAGTTTTCTAAATATTTCTCTTTGCCTTATTAGTTTTTCTCAACACCCTGTGTTATAGCTTGAACAAAACTTTTAATTACAAATGTAAAATTTGTGGAAATTGTGACTAATAATAGGTGATCATATTGTGAAATCTGATATTAATAAGACCTCAGGCCTCAGGACTGGCCTGAGGTCAATGGACAGGTACTGGAGAAGGGCTCTCAAACCCAGGATATCAATCTCCAAGTCATGTGTTTCTTCCATGGTATCATGAATTTCCTATTTAAATTTATTCTCTTTACAGAGTAGGAAGCGGAGGCACCAAGAAGTTAAGTGAGTGAGGCACAGGACAGTATTAGTTCTCCACTATTTATTTGACAGTCAGCAGGTTGTTTACTATGGGTGGGACTTCATTTCCTCATCTATAACATGAAGCTCTCAGAGTAGAAAGCCTCTGTTTTCTTTAGTTTCCAACTTTTATAGTTTGCCCAAGTTCATGCAGCTAAATAATCCAAAGCTAATGGTAGAGCATAACCCACTGACAGCTTGTCAGATAGAGGGTCTCATAGATAGCTCTGCCCTTCAAATATTCGTCCTACTATAACTTATAGTCGTCCAGCCTTCATAAGGAACTATTTAGTATTGTTTGTTCTTACGAATAAAATGTTCTGTTCTCTACACTTAAATTAAAAAGTGGGCAATTTGGGTCTTTTATAGTGTAACAGAAACCACACTAAATTATGTTGCTATTGGTTCTTAATTAATTTTGGTTTTCTCCACTTTCCCCTGGGGGGAAAAATTGATTCTGTATCCAGGGTTAAGCAAATAATAATTACCTAAAAAGTCAAATATTCATTGTAAGTTGTGCTTATTGATCTTATTTTTTAATAAATTAATACTTTTCATAGATCAAAGAACAGGACTTATTTTTCCTTCCCTGGGCTAAGTGAATGAATGCCTTCTTAGAATATTAAAAAAACACTTGTAGTAGCAAAAGGAAGGAAATCCCATAACATAATTTTGTTTCTACTATGAATTTGGCCATCACCACAAACTTTGCTCTATCTTCCTACCTTCCTGTTTGAGAGGTGGTGAGAAAAAGTACAAAGAATGTTGGGTTTGAATCCAGAAATATGTAGATTTAATTGTGGCACCTCCACCTAGCTGTGTGACCTTCAACAAGTTACTGAACCATTGGCATTTGTAACTATTGTTTTTTTCAATTGCTTAGTGCTATGGTTTGAATGTGTCCCCCAAAGTTCTTGTGTTGGAGACTTAATCCCCAATGCAACAGTGTTGGCAGGTGGGGCCTTATAAGAGGTAATTAGGTTATTAGGGTTCTGCCCTCATGAATGGTTAATGTCATTATCACAGGACTGAGTTAGTTATCACAAGAGTGGGTTGTTATAAAAGTGAGTTCAGCTCTCTCTTGCTCTCTCATACACACCTTCTCTTGCCCTTCTGCCGTGGGTTATTATTGTTGATTGCTGTTTGGTGAATGGATTGAACAAGTAGGTTACCCAAGGGCAGCTTCCTCTTGCACCAAGTAACTAACATTTGTAACATGCCCTTCTTGACAACAAGAAGAGCCTTGTCAGATGCAGGCCTCTCAACCCTGGACTTCCCAGCCTCCAGAAGTGTAAGAAATAAATCTGCTTTTTATAAATAACTCAGTCTTGGATATTTCGTTATAACTGCACAAAACAGACTAAAACACTTAGTAAGCCTCCTATTGAAGAGATAAGTGACAGAACTTTCCCTGGTTATTTTGGGGGAGTATTATTTATCATTTAGTATTGAGTGTCTCCTACTCCTGCACATGGGAAAGTGTAGCAGTGGGCCTACTGCCCCACATTTGCCGTCAGATTTGATACATCTTAGAAAACATACCATATGCATAATTGCAATTCACAGGAAATAACGTCTTTCTTATCTTAATGGCCCATCAGTTCTTTGGTATCACTCTCTTCTGGGTGCTGTGCCTGCAGATTCCTTGGGTCCAGGTGGTATTGCTAGGCTGACTCTTAGAAAGATCCCTGCTGTAATTTTCCCATGCATTGGAGGGGTTGATGCCCTTTCCCAGTCAATCTTCCTTACCTCCCCAGGGCATCATCAATTTCCTTCCCTCTTTCCCTGGAAAACTTATTGAAATGACCAAAAAAATACCCACTTTACTATAAACGACATGCCATTTCACCCAGGAACATAAAACTATATCCTCTCTTCCAGAGTATATTTTTTCAGCTTCATTTTCTGACCAAGCATGTCACAGCATGCCTCTCACCCTTGGCAACTTTCTACTCTAGATAAAGATTTATTCCTCCGTACAAGGATCAGAGTCATTTTTGGCAAACAGAGACATTCAATCATCATCATGAGCTAAATGCCTCATCTTCCCTCTGGATCACAGAGTCCTAGAGGGTAGGATCCAAATCTTATGGCTACAAGCACAGAATTCCAAGAAGAAATGGCCTCTACATTTCTAAAACTCTGATTTTATAGTCTTTGCTGGAATCTGCTTTACAATTTATTTGTCAAGCAGTCATTTATCTCCTGTCTGAACATCTCCGATTTCCCTCTCTGTCTACTCATAAAAGATATTTGGTTATTATTGTTGATCGCTGTTTGGTGAATGGATTGAACAAGTAGGTTACTGAGGGCAGCTTCGTCTTGCACCAAGTAACTAACGTTTGTAGGAGGAAGAAAAATATTCCTCTACCCACTCTAGGTTTGTTGCTGAGGCCACTGTAACAAAAGATTAACAAGAGAAAAGCCATACAAATATATTTAATATAAGTTTTATGTAGCAGGGGGGCCTTCATAAGAAAATAAAGACCGCAAAAAACAGGTAACTTTAATTTTTTTTATAATAGATTTGATGAAGAGAGAAGAGTCATGAAGAAATGTGAGAGCACAAAAGGGGTGTGATCTAATGGTAGTAAACTAAGCAAGACATGTTTGCTCAGATTCTTCTCTGTGTTCCTGTGTCTTCAGAGATAAGAATGCTCCTTTCCTTCATGGTATAGGAAAGGCACCTCTCACCTGAGGGTCTTATGACCTGCTTCAGGGAAGGTCTGAAAATCCTTCCTAGGTTTTATGACTTGCTTCAGTGGGGGAAGAAAGGGGGAAGGTCAGAGAGACCTTCCTGCTTCTGTGGTTTTCTCAAATTTCTTCAGCTTAAACATTCGATATGCCAAGGTAACATTTTGGGGTAGCATGTCCTGAACCCATCATAATGTTCATTGTTCCAAAATGTTGGTCCAAAATACACGGAGATCCTATTATACGCAGGCACCTCTTGGCCTATATGTGAATATGCATGTGCGTACCGCCCCACCCCACCCCACACAGGTGAAACTCAAAGAATGCCATAAGCAAAATAAGAAATCTTTGGAGGAGTATCTTCACTTTTTTAGAAAGAATACTGTAGGAAGTAAAAAAACAAATTGAAACTTATCTCCGTTTAGGCTTTCAAGCAGTTATACCTAATAGAAAAACTACGAGGCCATAAATCCTGTAGTTGGTTAATAAATGAGAAAAAGAGTGAACAAGCCCTACTTTGAAAGTCAATCCTGTTACCTCTGATTGAGAAAATCATCTGTTTGGAAGGAAGTTAAATGAATATATTTTGTTCATCCAAGGGCCATCACACATCAAATGATCATCTTGTCTAAACCTAATTTATTTTTTGAGAGAAAGCAAGCAGCAATATCCCAGGCACCTTCTTTCCTTTTCTGATGGATCGGCCTCACATGCCTCTGAATAATCAATTTCCACCAGAGCATTTCCAAGTCTGTAACTAAGGACGATGTAGGTAAAGATGTACAATGATTTGTTTTCTATTAATCATTCTTCAGTGGTAGGATCAATTAACATATGTAAATGTCAATTAGTTATAAATAGACAAAAGCTGGGATGGTTTCAGTAGGACATTGGAGAAAGCACACTGTATGTTCAATGGTTTTTGAACCTTTTTTTTTTTAAGCTGAGAAATAGTATGTGGAATCCTAATGCAGTACATAAAATAGCTAAAAGAGTGTATGCTGGGCTTAAATTTGGCAGGTGAGCACGACAGACAAGACATGAACAGGGACTGAGGCTACCTTGCGGTCTTTCTCCCTCCTCTCTTCCCCCACCCACCCTCAATCCTCTTAACAGCCTTGAATATCTTGAGAGGACATTTAGGATTCCTTGGAACATAATTTAAAAATTAATGGCAGAGTGCTAAATAGATGTACTGTAGCAATTGATGAAGTCTTATTCTAATCCTGGATCCAAAGTATTAGCCATAAGAATCAGTGCAAATTATCAGGACTTTCTGAGCTCATTTGACATTTGTAGAATGGAGATGGCATTCGAATTAGGATAAATTAGATAACACTTATACAGTAGTCCCACCCTTATCCATGGTTTCACTTTTGCGGTTTCAATTACCCACAGTCAACCATGGTATGAAAATATTAAATGGAAAATTCCAGAAGTAAACAATGTATAAGTTTTACATTGTGAGCTATTCTAAGTAGTGTGATGTGTGATGAAATTTTATGCTGCTCTGCTCCAACTGGCACAGGATGTGAATCATCCAGGGATTTAGTAGCCATCTCAGTTATCAGACTGTTGTGGCATAAAAGCGCTTGTGTTCTTGTATCCTTTATTTTACTTAATAATGGCACCAAAGCACAAGAGCAGTTATGCTGGAATACTGTTATAATTGTTCTATTTTATTATTGGTTGTTGTTTATCTCTCACTGTGTCTAATTTTTAAGTTAAACTTTATCATAAGTATGTATGTATAGGAAAAAACATAGTCTATGTAGGGTTTGGTACTATCTGAAGTTTCAAGCATCCACTGGGGGCCTTGTAACATATCCCCTGCAGATAAGGGTTGGAGGGACTATTTATTGTAAAAAGTCAAGTAGGCATGCCTGTCATATAAGAGTTGCTTAATAAATTGCAGCTATTGTTGTTATCCAGGGGAAATACTTAAGTTTTCAGTGTTGCTCTGAAAGAACTCTGTGCTGAGGGTTTCTAAAGAATCACATTGTTGAAAATCATGGTTTATTTTGGGTGTGTTGGACCCAGAGACAAACACCATCTTTTACAAAATCTGTCAGGTGCTTTCAGGATCCCAGTTTTAACAACCCAAACTATGAGAGTAGTATCAGTGGGATTATAAATGAACATAGAGGAAAAGAGAATAAATACAACTGTAGTTTGAGGAAAAATGTGAATGGAGGTAAGAAGACACTTTCACTGCCAGAAGGTATCTCTTGCCTCACCATAACTCCCAGGCCCAGGCAAGCTTTTTTTTGACCTAAGGCATTAGCATTCTTCAGAATCAGCAGGTGAGACAACTTCAGTGCTTGGAGTGGACTTAGAAATCATTTACCGTCATGCACCGCATAAGAACGTTTCAATCAATGATGTTGGTCTCATAAGATTATAATGGAGCTGAAAATTCCTAGTGCCTAAGTGACATACTAGACTTTGTAATATCTCAGTGCAACACATTACTCAAGTGTTTGTGGTGATGCTGGTGTAAATAGTAACATGTTGTACAGGTTTGTAGCCTATTAGCAATGGGCTATACCATACAGCTTAGGTGTGTAGTAGGGTGTACCATCTAGGTTTGTATAAGTACACTCTATGATGTTTGCACAATAACAAAATCACCTGACAATGCATTTCCAAGAGCATGTCCCCATCTGATACATGACTGTTCAAATGCCTCATTTTACTGGGCAGCAAACGGTGAGGAGGGGTGCAAGGGAGACAAGGAAGGCTCAGAGGTAGTTTTTGAAATGTAAATACTTCTGGGAGAAAGACCTGTTAAGTCTTTATTGACTCCTTACTATGAATTACAATGGCGTTTCCATTGCAGGGTAGGGAAGGACTATTGTCTCCTGCGGACCTATACACTGCCAAGGTGGATAGTGAGGGGTCTTAGATAGCCAAGCCCAGTCTCAGGCCTTCAGGTCAGGGGAGCTGAAAATAAAAAGGACCCCCGGGAAAAGGAGCCCCTATAAAGTAATTTTTACCATCTTTGTACCCTCAGTGGAGCTGACTGAGCTGACCATGTTGAGGACCTCAGCAAATTTGGTGAGGCTCCTGTCTTCACACATCTCTTTCCCTAGAATCTATCTAATTACTTCCTCCTGCCCCAAAGAAGCAGAAAGTGATTGGACTTCATCAAGGCCATGTCTCTGCTGTCTAGTGAAGATGAAGACATTGGGGAGTTGGGGGTAAGAAGACTGTAGACAAGTAAAAAGTTAAGCAAGGTTCAGACTATTTGCGATATGCTAAATTCTGGCCCCTCCCTCTTTCATGCTTTCCCCTGCACCATCACTCCCAAAACAAGGCAAGAGTGAGATGAGCCAGGAGCATGAGCTACTGAGTCTAATTCTTTTGTCAGGGGTTGTTGTGCAGCTTAGGAGCTGAGTAGATTGTTACTCTGGAAAGCCTCTGTCCATTCCCTGAGAGATCTCCCTGGTGTCAGGATTGGCACCTATCTCAAGAAAGACGAAGCTTCCCAGTTTAGAAGCCTCCAAAAAAATTGGCAGTTGAGTGGAGATTCAAACAGACCTTCTAATGCCGTCCAATAGCACTTTCTGGGATGATGGAGATACTTTATCTAAATATTCTATGCTGCCTAATACCATAGCTACTAGTCGCACATGGCTATTGAACATATGAAATGTGACTAGTAGGACTGAGGAAATGGATTTTTAGTTTTATTTACTTTTAATTAACTTAAATATTATGATATCCACATGTAACTAGTAGCAGCTGTGTTGGACAGCACAGCTTAGTCACCACCACTCTCCCCCCACTGCATTATCTTGTTTCCTCATGTTACCGGGGGTCCTTGCTCCCAGAGCTCCCAAGATGGTGGCGGGCCGCTTCCAAGATTGTGGCAAGCCTCGTGTTCTCGACCTGGGGTTCTTGGCCTCACAGATTCCAACAAATGGAATCTTGGGCCATGTGGTGAGTGTTAAGCTCTGTTAGAAGCCGTGGGTCACGGAAGAGAACCGTGGAACCCAGTGACTAGTGTTCAGCTGGATTAGGACGAACCCGGGCACTTAGCCGTGCAGGAACAATGGCAAGCCTTTAGCCCAATCAGCAGTGGCAATGGGCACCTCCTTGGATAAGGAGCCCAGCAGACACCCTGGCAGATCCTGAGGGATGGAAGTCAGCAGCGGGTCTACAATGGCGGCAAACAGCAGTGGTGGACAGCGAGCGAAAGCTCAGCTCGAGCCGTAACAAACACGGATCAGAAGAGAGTGCAGTTGCAAGATTTAATAGAGTGACGACAGAGCTCCCATACAAAGGGAGGGGACCCAAAAAGGGTAGCCATTGCCTGCTCCAATGCCTGGGTTTATATCCTGATCATTGTCCCTTCCGCTGTGCTCTCAGGCAATAGATGATTGGCTATTTCTTTACCTCCTGTTTTAGCCTAATTAGCATTTTAGTGAGCTCTCTTTCCTACCTGATTGGTCAGGTGGGAGCTAAGTTGCAAGCCCCGTGTTTAAAGGTGGATGCGGTCACCTTCCCAGCTAGGCTTAGTGATTCTTAGTCAGCCTAGGAAATCCAGCTAGTCCTGTCTCTCACTCAGTGGTCACTGCCCAAGGTTTTATGACCTATCAAGACAACACGATTGATTTCACTGATGTCATTTTATTGCTCTGTTGAAAAAATTCTTTCCAGGAAGTTAAAATTGTTAAGGAAAGTTTATTCATTTTACAAGTGGATGGTATTCCACACATTGCTTATAACTTACTCAAAAATGCAAAGTTCAGAACTAATAAGATGCTGATGTGCCGAGTTTTTTAGGCAAGACATTTAACCTCACTGGACCTTTGATTCCTCAACTGTGAAATAACAAGTTTATGCTAAATGAACCTGAAGGCCTTTACCAGCTCTAAAAGGAGATGATTTGAAATGGCTGCTATGATGGTGAAAAGATTATATATGTTCAAATAAGTAAAATTATGGAAGGAGTTGCCATTTCTGATAAGGTGGTTAGAAATTTAGTAATAAACATGAATTCAATATAATAACAGGGAGCAATAGCAAAGCATAAAAACAAAGTATAAGATGAACATGGGCCAGGCATGATGGCTTACGCCTGTAATCCCAGCACTTTGGGAGGCCGAGGTGGGAGGATCACTTGAGGCTAGGAGTTCAAGGCCAGCCTAGGCAACATGAACCCCATCTCTACAAAAAAAGAAAAGATGTATACAAAGGATCTAACTTCAAGGCAGAAAGTGTGAGAAGGCTGGTTGCTCCCTAGACTGCTCACTGTTCTTACTACCCATTATACAAAATGAGCATTTCTGTAATCAATTCTAATGAAGCTCATAAGTCTACCTTACAGTTTGCTATAAATACTGAAACATGTACTACATTTGTTTATATGTTACTTTGAGAACTTTTAGAGACCCATTGTAAAGCAAGAATTGACAAATAAGTCAGTTTCCAACTACCATGAGGAAGTTCCTTTGACCTCAACCCTCGTAAAAAGATGCACTGGCTGTACTATCAAAAGCACAGTTTTCACATGAACTGACATCACCCAACATCAGCCCAAATACCTTATGAGCCTAAATCCTAAGACAGCCAGAACTGAAACTCTTTTGGGGGAAAATGTTGCTTCTACGATGGGCCTCCATAAGTAATAAAACATTTCTAGCACCAGAAATCCAAGTACACCAAAGACCAACTGAAAATGTTTGTCATACCAGTACTATTAAAGGACAAATTCTGGCAGCCTGTAGCTAACGTTGCATATGAGGAGCATTCTGAGGAAACTCTGCCCACAGCATGAATCTGTAACCCACCAGAAACACAGCACTTCTAAATGCTAATAATAATGGCTAACGATTACATAGCACTTACTATGGCCAGACATTGATCTTGTGTCTGGTAAGTGTCAGAGTAAGCCTGAATCTTCATGAAAGGCATGAAAGCTTGACTCATTTATGCTTAGTTTGGAGTACTTATCCAGTGATACCAACGAAGCACTGTCTAATTAAAATGCTTAAAACTTCTGAATAGGTGAAATTCTGTAACAACCACATTTATATAAGTTATTTTATAAAATGCATTGGAAATTACCCAGAGATCAAAAAGTTATCAACATGAATGTAGAATTTTCCTTCTTTTATCTGGAAAAAAAAAGTCTCAAACAATTGGGGAAAAAATGTGGTGATATCTGTCATAATTTACAGAGACTCCAGTGTAGGCAAACAAAAAAGAGCGTTCCTTGAATCATTCCAGACTGGTGAGCCCCTCCCATGGGAATTTTGCACCTCAGTACCACTTGGTGATGTGTAAGAATAGATTGGCTTGTTCACTGTTCTGGTTTCTCTTTTTACAATTACTAGTTCCTTCTGACTAACCTTAGAAAATGTCATAAAACAGAAATGTGTTACCAAATGACCTGCATTGGTAACATTTCTCTCAATAGGCCTTCTTCTAGAAAACATTCCTTTAAATTTTCATCTTGCTTTACTTTTTTCCCTTTTAGCCTTGCTTAGTGCCATTTTAGCTACAATCAAAAACTTGTATGTCTTGGATTATATAAAAGTGTTACTTGTGGCAAATCCATACAGGTCTGCAGCAACCTCAATTCTTGCCTCTGCAGAAGAAAGAATTCAATGGAGGGGCATAAGGCAGAAGGAGAGACCAAGGCAAGTTTTAGAGCAGGAGTGAAAGTTTATTAAAAAGCTTTAGAGCATGAATGAAAAGAAAGTAAAGTATACTTGGAAGAGGGCCAAGAGGGCAACTTGAAAGACAAGTTTGTGGTTTGACCTTTTGACATGGGGTTTTATACACTGGCATACTTTCAGGATCTGTGTCCCTTCTTCCCTGATTCTTCCTTTGGGGTGTGCTGTCTACATGCACAATGGCCTGCTAGCATGTGGGAGGGGAGCATACGCAGTGTGTTTACTGGAATTTTATGCATGCTCACTTGAGGTTTTCTTCCCTTACCAATCTAGCATTCCTGGACGAAGGTCATATACCAGTTAAACTCTGCCACTTTGCCTCTTAATGCACATGCTTGATCTCACTCCCCCAATCCCTGAGAGCTTATTGGAAAGCTACTAATCACCAGTTTCAGGTTTTTGCTATCTATAGGGAGACTGCCTTTCCCTGGCTCTGGCTGAGTCCAATTATTATCTTAGAGAGACAGTTAACAACTGCCTGACCATCACCCGACGGTCGCCTGACATTCCTGATGGGGTGAGGGGAGCCCTCTCCTGCCCTGCTCATGCCTGACTAGCTACCTACTATAACAAAAGTTATGTTCTTAAAATCTATTGTATAAGCTTCCTCAGAATTAAGGAGTTAAGCTTTACAGTCTGGAAAATCAGTATTTGAGCTTACTAGAGGACAATCTTTGCAACTTACTTCACCTCTTCACCTTTTGTATATTACTATTCCCTATTTTCTTTTGTTTCCTTTTTTTTTGAGACGGAGTTTTGCTCTTGTTTCCCAAGCTGGAGTGCAGTGGCGCGATCTCAGCTCACTGCAACCTCTGCCTCCTGGGTTCAAGCGATTCTCCTGCCTCAGCCTCCCAAGTAGCTACAGGCATGTGCCACCACGCCTGGCTAATTTTCTTTTTATTTTTGTATTTTTAGTAGAGATGGGGTTTCACCATGTTGGTCAGGCTGGTCTCAAACTCCTGACCTCTAGTGATCCACCCACCTTGGCTTCCCAATATTCTGGGATTACAGGCATGTGCCACTGCGCCCAACCACTATTCCCTATTTTCAATAAGACTGGTTAGTAAAGTCAACCTCACATATAGTGGTGCCCTCGATTCATAAGAACTCTTAAATGTTCAAAAATTTTGTGAACTAGTTTTTATACACAGCCTTTATTATAAATTAAATTATATAAATTATGCTTTTATGTTAAAACAAAAATAATACCCAGAACCCATCACTTTCTAATTATTTTACTAAATTTTATTATTATCTGTGTTCTTGAAGTTACTTATGTCTACTGTACTTGTATGGTGGAAATACTATATAATAGTATGCTACTGGGTGTCTCTTCCTAGTCCTGCTGTGTCTGTGAAGTCAGGTTGGTAGCTGGAATTCAGCCAAGGTGAAAATATTTACACTGTAGAAATCAGCAAACACTACAAATCTGGGCTGTTTGTCCTCTGAGATAGTTGTTTATCAAGCATTTACCAGCACATTGCTGCTTGTGTGTATGGTATAAGAATCAAATGAGATAATGTGTAATAGGTGCTTAAGTGTTGTATTAGTCCATTCTCACACTGCTATAAACATACTACCCAAGACTGGGTAATTCATAAAGGAAAGAGGTTTAATTGACTCACAGTTCTGCATGGATGAATAGGTCTCAGGAAACTTACAATCATGGCAAAAGGGGAAGCAGGCACCTTCTTCACAAGGTGGCAGGAGAGAGAAGAGTGCTCAAAGGCTGAAGAGTCCCACACTCATCAAACAACCAGATCTTGTGAGAGTTCACTATCACAGGAACAGCATGGGGAATAAGGACCCATGATCCAATCACCTTTCACTTGGTCCCTCCCCTGTTATGGGGGATTACAATTCGAGATGAGATTTGGGTGGGGACACAGAGCCAAATCATATTTGTGTGTAACTCATATTTTGTAGTCAATAAATGTTAGTTGTTCTCATTAGTATTATTAATTTTTATTATCATACAGTCAATTAGTAAATCAGTTCTTCATTGTCTAATTCAGTGCCTTTAAAGGTTTCTTAGAGCATATAAAAATGCAATACTATGAAATATTTCCATAATGACATAGATCTCAGCTTCCTTAACATAATGGCATTGTTATCTACACTGTGTCCTAATTTTGATTAGTGATGCCTTTTATGGAAATTTAATTTTTTTTTTTTTTTAGTTCTAGTTCAACCCTCTCCTCTGTCAGAGAAGGAAACAAGGTCCCAAAAGCCTAGTGTTTTGCCTAAGGTCTCAAGGGCATCTAGTAGTAAAATATGTTACCAATGTAATTTACAAAGTCTTTGGATACTTTTATAAATGAAAAAGTTGTTTATTAAGAGTGTGAGTCAATGGTTTTTATTTTGGCATTTATGGTGTCCTTGTGAAAACTTGGTGCAACATATATAGCAATTGAACCATAGGAAATTACCATATTTGTAAGTAAGAAATAGTCAAATATTGGTAATGTCATATGGCTCTATCTAACCTGATATATTTAACCTAATAAGCTGATAGTCAAAGTGATATGATCTTTCCATTTCTTCCCCACTCCTGTCTTGCAAACATGATGTTATTTATTTATTTATTTATTTTGAGAATGAATTTCACTCTTGTTGCCCAGGCTGCGGTGCAATGGCATGATCTTGGCTCACCACAAACTCTGCGTCTCGAGTTCAAGTGATTCTCCTGCCTCAGCCTCCCGAGTAGCTGGGATTACAGGCATGTGCCACCATGCCCGGCTAATTTTTTGTATTTTTTTTTAGTAGAGATGGGGTTTCTCCATGTTGGTCAGGCTGGTCTCGAGCTCCTGACCTCGTGATCTGTCCACCTCGGCCTCCCAAAGTGCTGGGATTACAGGGGTGAGCCACCGTGCCTGGCCATAATGTAATTAAGATGAATCCAGTCATATGCACATGAGCTACAGAGGTTTAATTCAGGGGTTTGTGGAATTATTTGGCTAGATAAAGTTTATGGTTTCTATGCTAAAGAGTGATACTATGCTACCATTGTACTTAACAAAAGAATTATCCCCAGGCTTTGAGATGAAGAAGGACAGAATAAATAGTTGATACATGTTTGTATGGAATTTGTGTCATTTTCTGGTTTGGATTTAAAACCAAAGAATGGCTAAATTATATGTATTACCCTAGGCTTTTAAAAAACACTCACCACATAAGCATTAGCTTTGAAAACCCTAAATTGCTTTTAAAAAATGGTCAAGCCAAAGTAGAAGAAAATCTGTGGTTTTATGCCCAATATACAATTACACAATAACAGAATTTATATGCTTGCAGTTGGATTCACAAAACCTCCTTAATGTACTAAAGTGTGGTCTAATTGCTTACTAATAAAAGGGGGAAACAGTCTCTAATTAGATAAATACCTTTTATAGCAATCTTAGTAAACATACTCTGTTTGTCAGGGTGAAGCAAAGAGTTGGGAATGTGTGATCAATGACTGTTTTCACCCTGTTTTTCCTGGTGGGACAGGGTCAGCTTGGAACGCACGGTTCTTGCCCAGAGCTGCTCAGCATTCCAGACTAACAGCTCTAATCAGCTCCTCCTTTAGTCAACAGTATTCAAGGGATGAAAGGCGGGAATGGTTTCTATTATTATTTTTTTAACCACATAATTGGAGTCAAAATAGTAATTGACTCTTGTTTGTTTCTCCAACCTGTCCTCTGGGAATAACTTCAGGGTGCAAGTAGTTCTCAAAGTCCCTAAACAAGTTTCTGTTTTCATTAGTTCCTGGAGATTCTACCTTTCTTCTTCTTTTTTTAAAAAAACTTGCTTTGAATTAAGGGCTCTTATTCTGAAAAGCTTAAGAAAGAAGCTGTCCCTTTAGCAAACTGAGTTGGAGAACACTAGAATGTGTGGTCACGGGAGCCATAAGGCCTGAGTTCTATTCCTAGGTGTGTTACTAATTCATTGTGAAACCTTGACAGTGTCACTTGAATTCCAAGTACCTCAGTGTTCCCATTTGTAAAATAAAGTTTGAGGCAGAAGGCATAGAGCTGGTGTACTCTGAATTGCTGTGAGACAAGATTGACAAAGGCGTGGGCAAAAAGGGAATAAGGAATGGAACACACAAACTGCACTGGGCTTAAGCGATGGACTATATTGGGTGTGCTGGGCTATGCTTAAGAGAGAAATCATGGAAACACAGGTGAGGTGCTGGAAGCACGTGAGGAGAATGAGGTTATTAAATAAACCAGTTCCTGCTCTTCTGAGTATTTTCTACATCTACGTGTCCTGGTAGAGGCCTCACTAGTTTCATCTATATTTGTAGCCTAGTCTCAACTTTTAGTAAAAACTCTGTTCATGTTTGTTGAATCTGATCTACTCTGCCTGAAGTTAACTGAGTTTATCTTTTTTCTTACTCCTTAAGACAACGGTAATAGTTCCTTAAAACAACAATAATAACAGAACTTAAAACAAATAACAAAGAAAAATAAAACCCATAATTTTTCTTATTATAAGAATCATCCATGCTTACTAGAAAAATTTAGAAAGTAAAATGAGAATATATAGCATCCACAATCAACAACCATTTCTTCTCAGTGATTTTTTTTTCCTAAACATTTTTTGTATAATTAACATTATATAGAATAGATGATTTTATATTGTGACTTTTCATTTAAAGTGACAAAATTTAACTTCTATTATACTTTTTAAACTTTTTTAAAAAAATTTTTGTGAGTACATAGTAGATGTGTGTGTGTGTATATATGTGTTTTATATATGTATATATATACATATATATTTCTGGGTTACATGAGCATGAGATATTTTGACACAGGCATGCAATGCATAATAATCACATCAGGGTAAATGGGTATCCATCACCTCAATTAAATTATATACTCTTTTGGTTATTTTTAAATGTACAACTAAATTATTATTGATTATAGTTACCCTCTTGTGGTTGTAAATAGTAGGTCTTATTCATTCTATCTACTTTTTTGTACACATTAACTATCCACACTCCCCTTCCACTACCCTTCCCAACCTTTGGGAACCATCATTCTACTCTCTATCTCCATGAGGTCACTTTAATTTTTAGCTCCCACATATAAGAGAGAACATGTGAAATTTGTCTTTCTGTGCTTGGCTTATTTCACTTAACATTATGACCTCCAGTTCCATCCAAGTTTTTGCAGATGACAGGATGTCATTCTATTTTATGGCTGAATAGTACCCATTGTATATACGTACATTTTATTTATCCATTCATCTGTTGATGCACACTTAGATTGCTTCCAAATCTTGGCTATTGTGAATAGTGCCACAATAAACATGGGAGTGCAGGTATCTCTTTGATATACCGATTTCCTTTCTTTTGGGTATATATCCAGCAGTGAGATTGATGGATAATATGGTAGCTCTATTTTTAGTTTTTTAAGGAACTTCCAAACTCTTCTTTGCTTTTATTTAATTTCCATTGGCATGGAATATCTTTTTCTATGTCTTTGTTTTCAGTCTGTGTCTTTCTAGGTGAAGTGGTTTTCTTGTAGGCAACAGATCATTGGGTTAGCCACTCTGTCTTTTAATTGGAGAGTTTTGTCTATTTATGTTCAATGTTATTGCTGATAAGTAAGGACTTACTCCTGCCATTTTGTTATTTGTGTTCTGGTTGTTTTGTGCTCTTCTCTTCCTTCTTTCCTTCCTTTCTGTCTTCATTTTATTGAAGGAAACTTTCTCTGGTGGTATGATTTAATTACTTCCTTTTTGTTTTCTGTGTATCTGTTCTGTGTTTTTTGATTTGTGCTTACCATGAAGCTTGCAAATACTATCTTATCACCCATTATTTTAAGCTAATAATAACACTGCATAAACAAATAAGCAAAAAGAAAACCAATAAAAACTCTACACTCTAACTTTCTCCCTCTGCTTTTTAGTATTTTGTTGTTTCTCTTTATATCTTATTGTACTGTCTATGCCTTAAATATTTCTTGTAGTTATTTTTGATTGGTTCATCTTTCAGTGTTTCTACTTAAGATAAGAGTAGTTTACACACCACAGTTACGATGCCATAATATTCTGTGTTTTTCTGTGTACTTACTATTACCAGTGGGTTGTATACCTTTAGATGAATTCTTATTGCTCATTAACATACTTTTCTTTCTGATTGAAGTACTCCCTTTTGCTTTAACTTGTCTGGGAAAGTCTCTATTTCTCCTTTATGTTTGAAGGATATGTTCACTGGATATACTACTGTAGGGTAATAGGCTTTTTTTCCCTTCAGCACTTTAAATATTCCATACCACTCTCCCCTGGTTGGTAAGGATTCTGCTGAAGAGTCTGCTGCCAGAGGTAGTGGAACTCTTTGTGTGTAATTTGTTTCTTTCCTCTTACTGCTTTTAGGATCCTTTCTTTATCCTTGACCTTTGAAAGTTTGATTATTAAATGCCTTGAGGTAGTCTTCTTTGGATTAAATCTGCTTGCTGTTCTATAACCTTCTTGTACTTGGATATCAATATGTTTCCTAGGTTTGGAAAGTTCTCATTATTATCCCTTTGAATAAACTTTCTACTCCTATATCTTTCTCTACCTCCTCTTTAAGGCCAATAACTCTTAGATTTGCCCTTTTGAGACTATTTGCTAGACTTTGCTGGCAAGCCTTTTTTTAAAATTCTTTTTACTTTTGCCTCCTCTGACTGTATATTTTCAAATAGCCTGTCTTCATGCTATTTCTTTCTTCTGCTTGATGAATTCTGCTATTAGAAGACTCTGATGCATTCTTCATCATTGCATTTTTCCACTCTGAAATTTCTGTTTGATTCTTTTTAATTATTTCAAACTCTTTGTTAAATTTATCTGATAGAATTCTGAATTCCTTCTTTGCATTATCTTGAATTTCTTTGAGTTTCATCAAAACAGGTATTTTGAATTCTTTGTCTGAAAGGTCATATATCTCTGTTTCTCCAGGATTGGTCCCTGGTGCTCTATTTAGTTCATTTAGTGATGTCATGTTTTCCTGAATGATCTTGATGGGTGTGGATGTTCTTCGATGTCTGTGAATTGAAGAGTTAGGTATTTATTTTATTCTTTGCAGTCTGGGCTTATTTGTACCCATTCTTCTTGGGAAGGCTTTCCAGATATTCAAAAGGACTTTGGTATTGTGATCTAAGCTGTATCTGCATTAGGGAGCACTACTAGTCCAGTAATACTGTGCTTCTTGCAGACTCATATAGGGACCACCTTGATGGTCTTGGATAAGATCCAGAAGATTTACCTGGATTACCAGGGAGAGACTTTTGTTCCCTTTCCTTACTTTCTTCCAGACATACAGATTCTCTCTCTCTTTGTGCTAAGCTGCCTGGAGCTGGAAGGAGGGGGAGAGAACACCAAGACTGGGACTGCACTGGGTTAGACCTGAAGGCACCACAGCATTAGGCCCCACCCAAGGCCTGCTTCAACCACTACCTGCCTATCACCTATGTTCACTCAAGGCCCTTAAGAGTCTACAATTAGCAGATTGTGAAGCCAGCCATAATTGTGTCCTTCCTTTCCAGGAAGCAAGTTCCCTCAGGCCCTGGGTGGAGCTGGAATAAAAAACCTTAGAAATCTACCTGGTGTTCTATTCTACTGTGGCTGACAGGGCACTCAAACCATGAGACACAGTCCTTCCAACTATTCTCTCCCCTTTTTATAAACAGAGGAACCTCAACCCATGGCCACCACCACCACCACCACCACAGGCCCACAGGAAGTACTGCCAGGCTACTGCTGATGTTAACTTGAGGCCCAAGGGCTCTTCAATCAGTTTGTGGTGAATGCTGCCAGGCCCGGGCCTCACCCTTCAGGGCAGTGGGCTACCCTCTGGCCCAGGGCAGGTCCAGAAATTCTGTTCAGGTGCCAAGGCCTAGAATTGGGAACCCCCAGATCTTGCTCAGTACTCTACCTCACTGTAAGTCAAATTGTTACCTAAGGTGCAAGAAAAGTTTCCTTTACTTTTCCCTCTGCTTTTCTCATGCAGAGGGAGTATCTCACCATAGCCACCATATCTGGGAATGTGCTGAGTCTCACCTGAACTCAGCACGTCTCAGAGTCTCACCCAAGGCTCATGGCTTACTACCTGGGTATTGCTGGTGGTTATTCAAGGCCAAACATCTCTTTAGTCAGCAGATGATTGGTCCTGCCACAACTGGGTCCTTCCTTTCAAGATAGTGGGTTCCCTTCTGGCCCAGGATGTGTCTGGGAATGTTGTCCAGGAGCTGGGACCTGGAATGGGGGCCTCATGACTTTTACTAATGCTCTATCCTACTATGGCTGAGCTGGCTTTCAAGATACAAGACAAAATCCTCTCTTCTCTCTCCTCTCATCAAGTGGAAGGAAGGGGTTTCTTTTTGAGTCACAAGCTATGCAGCCTGGGGTTGGGGAGGGGTGGTACATGCACTCCCTTATCCTCCCCAGCTGGTGTCTCAGTAGGTTATATGCCCCTCAATTCCAGTGGTTCCAAGCTCAGCTCAGCGCTAAGACTCACCTAGGAGTTGCACTCCTTGTGGCCTAGACTGCCTTTCACATTTAAGAACACTTTGTCCCATGGTGGGAAGTCTTGCTGGAACTCAAGTTCTGACTGCTGGGATGTGTGATTCCACTCTAGTTTGGGCTAGTCTATACGCTCCCTCCATGGGCAGGCATCATCTGAGTTTAGCATGGTTTTACTTTTAGTTGTGACAGGGTAACACTGAGTTCAATGCAAAGTCTTACAATTACTGCTCTCTGCCTCTCCCAAACACAAATATTCTTTCTCCATGCCACACAGCTACTGCCAGGGGATGGGGGACAGGTGAAATCAGTGATTCAAGACTGTCTTTCCTATCCTCTTCAGTGCCTCTTTCAGTGATATAAAGTTAAATCTAGGCACTATGAGTGCTCACCTGATTTTTGGTTCTTATGAAGGTACTTTTTCATGTAGATAGTTGTTAAATTTGGTGTTCTTGCATGGGCGACACTTGGTAGAGCCTTCTATTTGGCCATCTTGCTCCACTCTTCGATTTCTATTTTATGAATGCATCATAATTTACTTAATAACTCCCCTGCTGTTGTCTATTTCTAATGTTCCTTATTATATGAGTATTTTTCTAATGACAATTACTATGTAATAATTTTTCCCCATATTTTTGGATAGTTTTCTGACAAGAGATTTCTGAGACAGACATTGCTAAGAATAAAAACATAAACATTTAAGGAATAAAAATGTAAAAAATACAATAGAAATATAAACACATGTAAATATTCATACATGTCACTAAATTGCTTTCTAAGAAACTAATGATATTAATTTCTACTGTCATTGGAAGGCACCATATGTACTGAAATAAGAACTGTTGGTTGGAATGGTCTACCATATTTAATTGTGTGTTATCTTGGCTGTGAGGGAAGGCTGAATGACCCAGAAGGTTCCTCCCAACTACAATAGTCACTGATTAGAAATAACTAAACAGCTATCAGAGAACTGGCTATTCAATAATGACCTCCTTATGAAGTTGGAGCCTCAGTTCCCTCTAAGCACTGTACTAGCTGCTGAGGATGAAATCCCTGTTTTTAAAGAGCTTACACTCTAGTGGTAGAAAGGTATTTAAATAGGGAATTTCAATATAATGGTAAATAATAATATCTGGGGCATTTTTAGGGTAGTATGGGAGAGGAGAGACCCTGAAGCAAAGAAAGATGGGGAAAATATTGTAGACAGGGGAATCAGCATTATCAAAGTATTGGTGAAAAGCATAGATTGTATGTATTGTATATGTGTCTACAAGCTATTTGGTTTTATTTAAGGATATAGTATGAAATAAAAGATGCCCGACACTTATATGATAGGCAGAGGCTAGGTCATAGGGGACTTTGTATGCCACACTAAGAAGCCTGAACTTTATTGTATAGGCAGTGAAGAGATATTTAAGGTTTTAAAGAAAGAGAGTGATGAAGCCAGATGTCATGATAGATAACATTTCTCTCTCTCTCTTTCTTTTTTTTTTTTGAGATGGAATCTCACTCTGTCACCCAGGATGGAGTGCAGTGACACGATCTCAGCTCACTGCAACCTCGGTCTCCTGGATTCAAGCGATTCTCCTGCCTCAGGCTCCCAAGTAGCTGGGATTACAGGCGCAAGCTACCACGCCTGGCTAATTTTTGTATTTTTAGTAGAGATGGGGTTTCACCATGTTGGCCAGACTGGTCAAGAACTCCTGACCTCAAGTAATCCACCGACCTCAGCCTCCCAAAGTGCTAGGATTACAGGCGCAAGCCACCACCCGGCCAATAGATAACATTTCTGATTGTGGTGGAAGAATAAATACATTTTTAATGAGGCAAGACTAGAAGCAAGAAGACCTGTTAGGAGACCTTTGTAATATCCAACTGAGAAATAGTAAAAGCTTAAATCAAGGCAGTGGAAGTATGGAGGTATGGAGGGAAAAGGAAAGGCTCAAAAATTATGTTGAATATCAATTTGGCAGAAGTTGATAATTACTTGAATGTGGGGGCTGATGGAAAGAAAACAACTGCATAAAAGTCAAGATAATAAAAGTTGCCAGAAATCAGAGCTCAACAGGTTAACTGCAAAAGAAAGATTCCAGGGACACAATAGAGAAATGTCTATTTGATTTGGCAACATGGATGTCACTGGTGGATTTTGCATGAGTCCTTTCAGAGGAGTAGCAAAGGAGCAGTAAGTTGAAGAGTGAGTTGAAGGTGAGGAAATATAGACAGTGAATATAAGTGTATTATAGTTATCTCTTAAGAAGCTTGGCTCAAAGGAACAGAGAGAATTAATACAGTTGCCAGAGAGGTGATCTAGAGTCAACAGAACTTTTTTTTCTTTTTAAATTTGGAGGAACTCGAGATTCTTTACAAGCAGGAGAAAAAGGACCACCAAAGAGGGAGAACTTGAAGGTATAGGACAGAAGAGAAAGTTGATGGAACAAGCTATTGGAGTAAATAGAAGAAAGTACGATTGAGATTAAATGTAGAGATGTTGATTTTGTATAGAAAGGGGAGACTCTTTGCCTATAACTGGATAGGAAGAGGGAAACTTGGATGCAGAAGTAAGTTTGTTAGTGGAATCAGGAAGATAAAGTTGTTCATTACTAAACAGTGCAGAGTGTTGCAGAGAGAAAGAGAAAATAATATATGCAAAGACCTGGAGTGAGAGGTGGAGAGAGTATGATGGGTTTGAGTAACTGAAATGAAAATTCAGTAGGACTAGGACATAAATTGAGAGAGGCAGGTAAGAGAAAAGATTAAAAATGAGGACAAAGTGGTAGCTGAGACCAGATCAGGGTGGGTCTTGTAAGCCACATTATGAGTTTGAGCGTCATTTCAAGTGTAGAAGAAAGTTTGTAAAGGTTCGTGTGTGACATGATAAGCTTTGTATTTGGAAGCATCACTTTGGCTGTACTGTGAATAATGGATAGGGAGGCAAGGGATAAGGCAGGGAGAACAATGTGGAAGCTAATAGAGTAGTCCTAGTAATGGATAATAGTGACTGGACTAATGCATTGCCTATGCAATGGAAAGAAACAGATGAAATTGAGAGATTTTTTTAGGAAGTAAGAATTGACAAGTCTTGATGATGGATTGGATATAGAGGAGAGGGAGAGAAAGAAGTCAAGAATAACTCTCAAGTATTCTAGCTTGGGCAACTGAGAGGATGGTGGCACCATTTATTGAGACAAGGAACTGCAGGGGAAGTATATTAACAAGTTAATATTAAGAGGTATATTAACAAGTTCATTTATGGACACATTGAGCTTGAGATGCCTATGAAACATAATATGCTAATTCATTTATTCACCCACTCAATAAATATTTACAGAGCACCTACTATGCCAGGCACTGGGCTATGTCCTGGGAATATAGCAGTGAACAAATTCCAAGACTCATGGAGCTTGTAGTCTAACTTAAATTCAAGTAGTCATGTTGATATTTGAGTGAAGCTAAGGAGAAAGTGTAAGGCTAAGGTACAGAATTGGGAATTTGAGTGAAGCTAAGGAGAAAATGTAAGGCTAAGCTATAGAACTGGGAATATGCATGAAATCACCCAGAGTCACTGGGAAAGGTAAAAATATATGGGGCAGATTAAGGAAGAGGTACTTATAAAGAAAGCTGAGAAGTAGTGACCAGAGGTAGGAAGGCAACAGGAGATGTGGTATTACAGAAACCAAAAGATAAGAGTGGTTCAAGGATAGAGTGGTGAATATTTCTGACGAATTAGCTGAGAATGTCACTGTTCATTGGATTTAGTGACAAGGTGAGCATTGGTTAGCTATGGGGAATATCACTGGAGTAGTATGGGCAGATACTCAATTTCAGTGGGTTTAGGAATGAATAGGAAAGGAAATAAAGAAGGGTTTTGTAGATGTCTCTCAAAAATTTTAGCCAAGAAGAGGGAAAGACATATCAGTAGTAGCTGGGAAAGAAATGTGGGTACCCTGAGTTCAGACTGTGACACTGAAGATACACTCCTTCAGACTTCCAAGTCTGCCCAAGATTTCTGACCCAACTGCAAGGAGTTAGGGTCTGCTATGATTTAAATGTGTTTCCTCCAAAATTCAGGTTTTGTCAATGTGATAGTATTAAGAGGTGATTAGGCCATAAGGGCTCCTCCCTCATGAATACGATTAAGACCCTTATAAAAGAAGTTCCACACAGCATTTGGTTTGCATGTGCTTCCATCTTCTGCCATGTGAGGACACAGCATCCCTACCCTCCAGAGGATGCAGCAACAAGACACATTATTGGAAGCAGAGAGTAGCCCTCACCACATAACTGAACCTGCCAGTACCTTGATTTTAGACTTCCCAGCCTCCAGAACTGTGAGAAATAAATTCATGTTCTTTATAAATTACCCAGTTTATGGTATTCTGTAACACAGAATTATAGTATCACAAATGGACTAAGACAAATTGGTACCAGATGAGTGGGGTGTTGCTATAAAAAATACCTAAAAATGCAGAAGAATCTTTGGAACTGAGTAATGGGTAGAGGATGGAACAGTTTTGAAGTGAATGTTGGAAAAAGTTCGTATAGCTGTGAGCGGATGATTAAGGGTGATTCTGGTGAGACTAAGAAGAGGAGAGCACTAGAAAAAGCCTCAGTATTTTTAGAGATTACTTTAGTGTCCATGAACAGAATGTTGGTAGAAATATGGACAGTGATGAGGTCTCAGACAGAAATGAGAAACAAGGTTTGGAAACTGGAGGAAGGTTCATCCTTGTTATAAAGTGACAAAGAACTTGACTGAGCTGTGTCCATGTACTATAACTTTGTGGAAGGCAGAACTTAAGAGCAATCAACTAGGGTATTTGGTGGAAGAAATCTCTAGGCAACCAAGTACTCAGGGTACTGCATGACTTCTCTTTACTGCTTATAGTAAAATTTAAGATGAGAGAGACAATTTAAAGATGAAATTTATAATCAAAAGGGAAGCAGAACATAAATATTTGGGAAATTCTCAGCCTGGTCATATAAAGAATAAAAAAAGATATTTAGGAGAGAAAATCAAGCATGTGGCCAAGAGACTGTCTCATCGGGAGATTAGTAGGGCCAGAAGGAAGCCAGGTGCTATTCATTAAGACAATGGGAGAGACCCCAGAGGAATTCCAGAGATCTTCAAGGCTGGCATCATGCCAATCACAGGCCCAGAATTCCGGGAGTTTAAGGGCAGAATGGCTTTGAGAGAGGTTCCCAGGGCACCTGCAGGACCTTGGGGCTTGCTGCCCAGGGCTACCTCAAATCTGCGATCCCTGAATTCTGGTGTAGCACTTCTTGGCCACCATAGCTGTGGCTCAGGTGGGCTCAGGTGGGCCCAGGTGGGGCACTCTCTAGAGGGTGCAAGCAGTGAGTCTTGGCATTGTCCACATGGTACTAATTCTTCAGGTGCACAGAGTGCATGAGCTGTGGAGGCAATGCTTCCTCCACCAAGATTTCACAGGATGCCTCAGAGAGCCATCAGAGGCCTGGACTGAGAGCTATCATAGGGGTAGAGGTGTTGAATAAAGCCCCCACTTGGTCAATGACCAGCAGAACTGTGGAACTGGGGCCACTGCAGAGAGCCTCCACTAGGGAAATGCTTAGTGGAGCCATGGGGGCAGGGCTGCCCAAGGACCTTCAAACTATAGAGCCACCAGTGTGCAACACCAGACTGGGAGAACCTCAGGCACCTGACTCCAACCTATGAGATCTGCAGCATGGGCTATGCCCAGCTCTGGGGACACAGCCCCAGCCCAGTGTGTTCAGAATTTTGAGTAAATATCAGATGCTCATAGGGCCTGCCTTGAACAACAAAGGCACTCCTATCATTCTAGAAATTCCAAGGGTTTAGAGGTTACCTCTCAAGAGTCAGGGATGAAGGCCAGACCTCTCTTTGAGAAGTCCAATTTTTTTACTGGACAGTGGATTGAGATTTTTTTTTGTATTTATTTAGTCTTATTTGGTTGACTTGGGTTTGGGCATGCTAAAATGCTAATTGGTAATGGGGAGCTTCAAAGTTGGAGAAAGAGGGCCAAGTTAAGATTCTTGAGAAGAAGGGATGGATCCAGACAACAGGAGCACAAAGGGATTAGCCTCCTGCCACACAACATTAGGGAAAAAGGAAAGGATGAGGATTGATTTGATGACAGAACATGTATGGAAGTCTTGACCAATGGCCTCTAATTTATTTGTGAAGAAGGAAATAAAATCATTTGCTGAGAACAAGGACCCAGGAGAAGGTCAAGAATATGAGGAGAATGGATAATATTGGAACTAGTTGCCACAAACCAGGAAAATCCAGCAAGCCAGGAGAGCTGAGCCAAGAGTCTATTTGATATTTTAACATTGATGACCAAGAATTTATAGTGGCACCAATCTACATGGTTTTATAATAAGTTCAATAACACAGCTCAGGCTTAGAGGATTCTGATGAAAATATTCAGAAATGGCATTCTGCAATGTTCCCAACTACAGGGCAAGGAAAATAAAGTTTCTTATAAAGCAAGGAGGTAAAGGAAGTATCTGGTGACAATTCAGAGGCTACTGGGCACCTCCAAAGGGCACAGCTAAGTGGTTTGGAAGGAGGAGTTGCAACTAGTGCAGGAGAGGAAGTGCAAGACAGTATGTGTAAAGGAGTACAGATGAGAAAGAGGGTCCAGAGAGATTTGCATTTGGGTTCTAAGGTGACAGTATGAGAGGCACGGTAGATTTCATAGTCCTTAACACTGAAAATAAAACTACTGGGCCAAGTTGATGACGTTTATCAGGACTCTCCCTTGTAGTGCTCTGTGCAGTTATAGGTGTCAGTCTTCAGATGGAAGTTCAGCTGTGTCTGGCTCATGGCGCTGAGATTGGGGTAGCAGGGCAGAGGGGAAAGGGGTCTATGATGACAGCTTCTTCACCCAAGTGCAATGAATTAATGTTAGTCACTGTTGTCTTTTTTGTTTTTGTTTTTTTTTTTTTTTTTTGAGGCGGAGTCTCGCTCTTTCGCCCAGGCCGGACTGCAGTGGCGCTATCTCGGCTCACTGCAAGCTCCGCCTCCCGGGTTGACGCCATTCTCCTGCCTCAGCCTCCTGAGTAGTTGGGATTACAGGCGCCCGCCACCGCGCCTGGCTAATTTTTTGTATGTTTAGTAGAGACGGGGTTTCACCGTGTTAGCCAAGATGGTCTCGATCTCCTGACCTCGTGATCCGCCTGCCTCGGCCTCCGGCCTCCCAAAGTGCTGGGATTACAGGCGTGAGCCACCGCGCCCGGCCCTCACTGTTGTCTTTTAAGTAGTGAAACAGGAATGTCTCTCTGATCAGAAAGCACAATTAAGATTCTGCAGAAAAGGAAATCCAGCTCGGTGCCACCAATCTGTACTAGGAATGAAGATTTGGTAAGTACTTTTACAACAGATAATATCCGTGCACTGTCTATGCTCCTGAGACCTTACATATTAATATGCTCTGAACAACTTCCACCTGCCAGTATTCTTGTCTTCATGCCCGAGGGATTTTGCCAGAGGACCACCGGTACTTTCCCACAGCAGGCCATAAGTGCTGGGGAATTCTCAACCTCAAAAGTAGCCCTCAATCAATGACTGACAGAAGTCAGTGTATAAATACCCAAGCCTTGTTTATTCCTGAGTGGAGTTATCTGAAGCATGTATTTTTTACCAGTTCTTAGAGTTTTCCCAGAGGATTAAGCTTCAGTCACTCTGGCAGCAGTCTTAATAATCATGCCCCTTATTGGCTGCCTTTTCTTCCCTCACTTCCCTACTTCCCTGGATGTGTTCCCTGAACCTCCTCGAAAACCATGTACACTGGAATCCTTGTTTTGGGGTCTGCTTTTCAGAGACCCCAAGCTAAGCCAACCTTCTATGAGCCTGTTATTTTGCCTATATTATCTAATTTAATCCTATCAACAACTGTCAGCGATAGATATGATTATTCTCATTTTAGAGATGAAGAAATTAAGGTTCAATATGCTTGGGGAACTTGGCCCAGGTAAAAGTTTTAAATAGCAGAGCTGGGATTTGAACCCACGTTTTATCACTTCTAATCCACAGCACCACAGGGACAGGAGATAGCTATTTAGCATAAGGAGATTTCAGCACAGAAAAACTCTTTATTGCTTTTATTTCCTGTATTTTAGATATGAATATTTTATGCTACTTATTTTGGGGCAATTATTTCTGTTTTGTTTTCTTAGCTTTTGGTAAACTTCCCTTTGAAAATGTTAGTCTTCCTTTCCATTCTAAAGTGGAGGAAAAAAAGGTGTTTTCATTTCATTCTAATTACAATGAGAAGTGAGTGCTCAGCTGCTAGTGTGGCTGTCCCACTCAGCCTGGCAATCATTATTCTGAAGCTCATTATTGCTCAGACCTTAAGGTTTAGTTTTACTAAGGAATCCCATTCATTATCAAGGGCATGCAGCAAAAAATAGATTCTGGAGAGTTAAATATAGAAAGTCCAGGCCATCATTTAGATGTCAGAGTCATAAAGAAAATGACAATGATTTATAGAGTGTCAGAACAGGAAGAAACCTCAAATACCACCCTGTTCACTCCATTTACAGATGAAAGACCTGAGACCCAGAGAGGTTAAATAACATGCCAGTGCCGGAGGTCATAGGAAGGTAGTACAGAATCGGGGCAGAGCCAGATCACCTGAATAAAATGATTTTTCTATCCATGACATCACCGTGACCCAGATTTTATTTTGTCAACTTCCTACTCAAAATTCTCAAGTTGAAACTCTTAAAAAAATGCTTCTAATTGCCAAGTGGGCCGCAGAAATATTGGTCTCTTCTTTTGCTTTGTTCCTAGAGTAGAAACTTAGAAACATCTAAGACGAGTGTGAAATGGGTGATATTTCTCACGTGTCTTTTCTGTTTCTTACTCCTCCCTTTTTTTTTTTTTTTCACCCCCAGAGATTTATTTTCCCTTTCTGGTTGAAGAGTTTAAGCTTCAAGATGTCTATATTGGTTAAATATTGTAGCAGTTTTAGAACATGGCCCCCAAATTCTTTGACATTCCTCACAGAGCAAGTTCTATATCCTCTGCCCTTGACTATGGGCTCTGAGAATTCTGGACTGATAAAATATGGCAGAAGTGAGGCTGAACCAGTTTCTGGGTCCAAGACTTAAGAAATTGGCAGTTTCTACTTTCTATCTCTTAACATGCTCATTTTGGAACCCAGCCACCATGTGTGGGAAAGCCAAGGAGAGGTACATGTGAAGAGGCCCCCAGTGAGCTCAAGCTGGAAGCCAGCACCAACTTGCCAGTCACAAGTGAGCCTTCTTGGAAGTTGAGTCTTCCACATTCCTTCAAGCTGCCCCATGTGGAAGAGGGAGGAGCCTTCCCTGCCGAGCTCTGCCCAAATCCCAGATCTGTGAGCAAATAAATGATTGTTGCTGCAAGCCACTAAGTATTTTTTTTTTTTTTGAGGGCGGTGTTACATAGCAAAAGAAAACTCAAGCAGGTATTTCCACAAAAATGCTACATAACAAACCACGCCCAAAATCGTTTGGCTTTAAACAACAGACATTTGTTCTCACAGATCTTCAGGTCATTTGGAACAGCTCTGTTCTATGTTTGCCTCCTCTGTGGTTTTGGCTGAGGGGTCGCACTACCCAGGAGAAGCCTTTCTTAGGGGATGGCAGAAGTACAAGAGGGCAGGCAAAAGACACAAGGCCCCTTAGGGCCTAGACTCAGAACTGGCTACTCTTGTTTCTGCCAATATGCTATTGGCCAAATCAAGTCACACAGCCCAGCCCAAAGTCAACTGCTGAGGAAATAGACTTGGTCCCTGTAATCAGAGGACCTGCAAAGTCACAAGTCCCACAACAAAGGTGGAAATACAAAAAGAAGTAAAAATTAGTACCAATTGTGCACCCTACCACAGTGTCTGAATAGAACTGAGCAACTTTGGAATAGGCTGAAAATACCTCCTTTTAATTTAATTTAATTTAATTTAATTAATTTATTTTTTTTGAGACGGTGTCTCGCTCTGTTGCCCAGGCTAGAGTGCAGTAGCACTATCTCGGCTCACTGCAACCTCCGCGTCCCAGGTTCAAGCGATTCTCCTGCCTCAGTCTCCTGAGTAGTTGGGATTACAGGTGCATACCACCATGCCCACCTAATTTTTACGATTTTAGTAGACACAGGGTTTCGTGATGTTGGTCAGGCTGGTCTAAGCATTGCTAGATTCTCTGAGATCTACTATCAGGTTGTTTTACTGCTTTTAGCAAATTTAAGAATAAAATGAAAGTAAATTCAAGAAGAAGAAAAAATAGCTTATATGCACAACATTTTTTTTTAACTTTGAGTGGGCTGGGAAAAAAATACTGAACTCAGAAGGAACAGCTACTGGAAAAACAAGACTTTTTCTTTTTCCTGTTTGAACTAAGCTCTATGATATCTGGAGGTGAATAATTTTGCCTTTGTAAAGTAGATTCTTCCAGGGAAGGGGTTTGTAATATTCCCAGTAAAACCATAGGTTTCCCATGAGGGTAAAAATACTATTTTGGGGGAGCAATAGAAAGATATAGTATTCTTCTTTGCCTTTCTATAGATATTGAGGATTAAATTGGGAGGTTAGTTTAGTCTGTGAATGCTTCCTTTTAGATAACCCGATTTGGGGTGATATCAAAAGAAAGCAAACCCTGCTGATGGTGGATTTATTCTGTCAACTTAGCTAACCTGGAACTATGTTTCCCAGAATTCCCTTCTCTCATACTTTTTAGTTCACATAGGTCACAAGAGACATTTTGGGTAAGATTTGCACAGTGGAGTAAAGCAGTGTCCATATTCTTTTTTACACTTGAAAGGACAGTGCACGGCACAGGGTGATGTTGCAGTTCCCACACATTGTCACTGATCTGCTGGCTCGCCCTGTTGGTGTAGGGCAGCAGCTGGTCCCAGAGCTCCTCCAGCTCCTGCCAGATCTTCTAGAGCTTCTCCAAATCCTGGACTACTTTATGCAGCTTCTGGGGCAAAAGTCAGATCTATCTTTCCTCCAACTACAAGTATGTCTTTCCCTTAACTTCTCTGACTCCTGCATCAAATCCATGTTCAGCATTATGAGGAAGGGCATTGAATTCTCCTTCGTGTCACTGCATTATTGAAGTTGGAGGCTTGAGAGAAGTTTGAGACTGGCACACATCCTGGCTTTTCCTCAGATGGGTTCTAGTCCGTCCCTACTTTCTCTTACTTTTTGTCCATCTTTCCTTCCCAGTTACCTGTCCTGCTGACGTCAGACCCAGCACCAGGTGCAGAAGCAACCATCATACAAAAATCAAGCTTCCTTAATTATGTAAGTCAAATTCTTGTAATAAATCCTTTACATATTGCTTATAGTTTTGCTTCTCTAATCAAACCCTAACATATATAAGGATCTTATATAAAATTCAAAATGATTTATCTTTCTAATATTTCTTCCAAATACTCAAATCTTTCAGTCTATAGTGAATGCTTTTCAGATGCCAGGCACTGTGTTAAGCATTAAAGGAAACAAGATGAGTAAGGCAGGTGATGGTTCCTGCCCTGGGAGACTCAGTATCTATATAAGCTGAGCTATGTTAAGAAACCAATAGCCACTGTTAAATACAAAAGATATTACAATTATCCAACTCCTAGAACTAAAATTTATATTCTCAACCCAGGATGCTGTAGTGATTTCTCTGTGACCTGTAATGTCTAGGTACAGTAGGGCTGCTTGATGACATACACGTATGATAGGGAATAGGGTAACATGGCAATTACTTACCATGATACTCCAGTGACATGTCACAGTCTTAAATGGCCTAGCAATGCTGGAACAAATTTTTCCCATGTCCAGGGCATAATGCCAGAACTATATAAAAGTAGTGCTACTAATAAAATAATATAGGTCAAGAGGTTAGAAATCTAGCCTTCTCACTAAAGAAAAGAAAAATGGTTCCCAGGCATCAGGGGTCTGGTGGCAGAGAGGTGGTGTGTGTGTTTGTTTGTGTGCATGTGTGTGCAGGCTTCAAGCTATGGGGAGGTTTAGCACCAAACTTAGTGCCCCTGGGAAGAGGCACAAATAACATATAACTTGCTGGAACAAGATAAGAGGAAACTGTGCGGTGATGCTGTTCCTTGCAACAATGTCTTCTGTGCACATATTTCTAAGTTATGGATGACCTCATAATTGGTTAAATATACTATGGTAAATCCAAGGCCCAAAATACTGTGCAGCTATAAAAAAAGAATAAGGTATGTGTATATGGATTGATGATGGAAAAATCTCTGAAACATGTAAGTGAATCAAGCAAGGGGTCTAGCTGTGTATGCTCTGCTACCATGTGGGTTTGTAAAGGAGTAAAAATATCCTGTGTACGTAGTTGCTTGTATAAGTATGGAATATCTTTGGAAGGATTCAGAAAGAAAACAGTAACATTGGTAAGTTACCTCTGAAGGAGAGGACAGGTAGGCTGAGGGACAGGAATAAGAGGAAGACTTTTCACAAAATACTCTTGTACCTTTTCCATTTTGTGCCATGTAGATGTAGCACTAATTCAAAACACAAATAAATAAAACAAAATGTAAAAGTTAGGGGGAATCTGGTCATGTGAATGTAAAAAGCATTTGGAAGATAACCTACGTGTTCTGGGAGCCCCCAGAGAAAACTGGTGCTCTGAAGGGTGAGAAGGTGCCCATTGGCTCTGCTACTTACTACAGCATTTGTCCAAAGATACCACATTTCCAAGTACAAGAAAATCCAGGTTCAAAAAGTAAGTACCTTGCAAACATATGGTGCCCATCCAGTCTGGGGTGAAGAGATTAAGGGTTATCATTTGCAGTGAAGACCATTACAAATGACCATAGCCACTTATTTGATAGAGCGAATGGGTGCTCTTCTTGACAAACTCCCCAATGTAATGGGGAAACTGGAAGCCCACAAGGTCGTTTTCAAAAATCATTCCATCCATCTACCACATAAACTATCAGAAACAAAACAAAATGAAACAAAACAAAACAAAGCACAACCAAGAATCCAAACATACTGGAGAGAAGCTAAAAGGTGAGTAAGTGCTGAAACAACTGAAAACTCCTGCCTGCTAAGAACTAACAGAGCACTTGTTAACCACCTCGTCAGCACACTCAGTCAGCAGAATATAGCCTTGTACGACAGAGCCTCGGGGCTTAAAAAAAGTGAAGAAGAGAATCCCATTAGAGCCTTCTGAGGACTAGCTCAGGCACTCCCACGTCATACTGCATTCCTTAGAGAGTGCAATTCCCATCTCTTTCAGGAGAAATCAGCCTCTCATTTGCTTACTCGATCACAGGTACTTCCACCTTCATGTCTGTCAAACCACCAACACATAAATTCCACAAGCAGCTGCTTTTTCATCTGGAAGGGAGAGAGGCAATGAAGTCCTCAATCTCCCCTCGCAAATCCCCCAGGCCCCAGAGTTTAGAAAGAACGTTTTTTGAGCACAAAATGCTCAGCCTAGCCCTGTCAGGATTGTAGTCTTGGTGTTTGTCATTATGCAGGTTTTAAATGTTCAGAGGGAAACGGGAGATGAAAGGGCTTAGGACCCTCAGGCACATGGGAAGTCATCTCACCTCAATTAGCTTTTCCTCTATCCTGTCACTGGGTTTAAGGGGGACATGAAAGGAAACTGCAGCTGCAGGATGCCCCTCTGCCCATCCCCCTCCAAGTCCAACCTACTTTCATCTCTTGCCCTAAAAAATAAATAGGACAGTGTGAAGATAGAGGGAGAAAAGACAGGCTGGGTCACAAATCTCACTTTCCACCCTGACTCTATTTCGCTCCTTTTTTAAGATAATCTTTACCTGAACCTTCCTCCCTGCATTCATGATCTTTCTTTTAAGGGACCTTCAGTTTATTATAGAGTCAAAATCAAATATCCAAGTTAGAAAAAGCTCTGCAATGCAAAACACATCAACCCTTTTTTGAGAGCATGGTTTTACATGATTATAGCATGTTTGAGCTGGCAGAAAATTTAGACATTGTTTATTTCAAGCCTCTCATTTGTAGGCAACTGAAGCCCAGAAAAGTTAATTGACCTGTCCAAGCTAGTTGCTGAGTGAGTAGGAGGAAGGAGGTTCCTTACTCCTGTCAAGGATATTTATCAATAGATATCAAGGTAATAACTATGTTTTTATTTTTTATAATGCATATCATATGCTGAATCTTGAGCATATTACAATATCCATATTGGAAAGTCACTTATCAAATAATATCAACTACCCACAGCATAGTTAATATTCAGAAAGTAATCAAAAAGTATCAAATACTCTAAATAAAGGTCTTCAAGTTTATACACTAAGTTTATTCAATTCATATATAGGAAAGGTCCTCAAGCCTTAACTCAAAGTCTATTTACTCTAACTTTGTACACAATTTTTACAAGGTTAGATATTTTATTTTCTTCATTTACTTCATTTACTAAACGTTTATTGAACCCCTGTTATGGAACTGGCACTGTTCTCAGAGTAAGAGTTTAAAGATAAGTAAGGCATAGCATTGGGGCTCACATTCTAGAATTGTAAACCTACAATTCCAAGGCAATATGCTTGTTTAGAGGTTGATGCAGGTGTCATGGGGGCATGCAGTCCAGCCTCGGAGAGTCGGAGGAGACCTCACAGAGCAGGTGAAGTCTGCACTGGTGCTGAGAGGGGAAGTATTTGGTTACTTGCCAAGACAAAGAAAAAAAGACATTCCAGGCAAAGTTTAGACTTTGTCCTGAAAGCAAGGAAGAATCAAACAAAAACGATCATTAAATTTGCATCTTTGAAAGAAAACTTCAGTGACCTGTGGTAAGTGGATTGGGTATGTAGGTAACTGAGAGACTGAACAGGGAGAGGGCTCAAATTTCCCTGTAATGACTGTTAGGTATAGTTGTATTCTCCTATGCAAAATGGAGCTGAGACACAGTGTCTGCAAATTCCTTCAGAGTCTGTAAATATTGAAGCTCCTAGTGAATATTCTGACCAGGATTATGATGAGTATGGTGGCCAAGGTGAACTGACTTTCCAGGTCCTGCTACAATGAAAGTGGAGATATGCCATTTGTCCACTCTTACTCAAAAGAGATTGTCCAAACAGTAGGCTCTGTTTAAATATAGAGATAGACCAAAAGGTCTTTAAGTGTACTTTATACAAAGCCCAAAACCCAACCCTAATGATTCAAAATCCAGGATGGAAATAGAATTCTAACAATAATAATACTTTAACAACGAAGACACAGAAAGATTTCAATAGGTATTAATCATAAATTTGGAAGCAGGAACTACCTGATCTATAGAGACCCCAACAATTGAAAATGACAATAGCTGCTTTTATTGAGCTATAGTGCCAGGCACTATGCTTTGCTTTTTAAGTACGTTATCTGTAATCCACAATAATCCTATAAAAGAAGACAATAAGATCTCCCATTATGTGGTTTTAAAAACACAGTAAAATGATGCTAAATAAACTTCTTAAGATTGTCCTGCAATTATGTAGACAGAACTGGGAAAGAAACTCAAGACTGTTTGAAGCAAAATCTCAAGCTTTATCCACATGGCTATATATTTGCTAAATTTATGTACAATGCCTTAGTTTACAGATAACTTTCCTGTACATTTTTTTATCTCATTATTATGTATGACAGGTTATTATTATACCCATTTTGCAAATAAGGAAAAACATGGGTAAGTCATTCAATATGATGAGGCCTCAGTTTTCTCTGATGTAAAATGGGAAAATAATGTCCACTTTGGGTTGTTATTGGAGACTGGACATGTTAACCATTTCTAATTATTAGTCATTAATTGATGTACAATAAATGCTAGCTGTCATATTGTTATTATCATTGGCATAGTCATGAATTGCCCAAAGTCACACAGCTCTAAGGTGACACATCAAGGACTCACATGTAGGTTTTCTGATCCTATCCCAGTGTTCTACTTTCTACAACTGGATCCAGTGAAGCTTTGGGAGGATGTTTCTACAGGCCAGCATTTAAGCCAGACAAGTAGCATAAGGTATGAGCAAGAGTCAGGCATCCAAAAGTCATTACTCCACAATACTTTGCAGTGTTTCTTGACCTTGACAGCAGGTTAGAATCACCTGGGAAGATTTTAGAAATCCTTATGCTTAGGCCACACCCCAGACCAATGACATCAGAGTCACTGGTGGTGTGATCCAGGCATTAATATTTTAGAGCTGTCCCATATGCAGCTAGGGTTGGGAACAATTGATTTAGAGAAAAGCATGGTCAGAGATTTGTTTACCATGAGGTATTCCTGACTTCCAATGGCCTTGTCACTCACAGGAAGCCTCATATTGTAAGATTGTAGCTTCGCATGATGTCCTGCAGCTGGCAAAGTACTTTTTCATTCCTCTTTAGGCCATCAAAACACAGAGAAGTAGGGCAAACAAAGATCATACCTCACTTTCCTGATGAGAAAACTCATACACATAGACATAATTTGTATTATCCAGGGTTAAGCCAAGTTAGTGGCACAACTAAGTTTGCAAACCTCTGAGTCTCGTACTCAGTTTTGTGCCCAGACCTCTTTTTAGTAGAGTTCTCTTCCTTTGGATATCATGAAAGAAGAGGAGTGTTGCCCTGTAGTCTCCATAACAATTCCTTAAATTTATTTAAGGAATCCCCACTCTATAAGCCAAAGGTAAAGAAACTTCAAGTTTAACAATGATTTGTGGGCAAAACAAAATTCAAAACCAGTCACTGTTCATCTTAATGGTAAGTGGCATTTATATGGACAGATGTTAAGAATGTTATTCTAGAGCAATGTGATTATCAGACTAATTGTATTCCTGATTCTAGTAGAATCTTGAAATTGAGAAGCTAAATTTCTGAATTCTTCAAAATTAAAATAACAATGGTCCTTGGGGGAGATTTGATCAAGCCCTCCTTGTTGAATTAGCTAAAATCTGACTCCTATACATGATACACATGTATGGTATAAAGGTGTTCATTTCTCTGTAGGCGAGAAAAATAATCTATTCATTGTTTAGAATTTCAACTGAGTTGTGTCCTTATGTATGTCATATTTATAGCTGAAAAGGTTATAACTATTACGGTTAATACTTCTAATAACTGAAATGTAGACAAGGTCAATGTTTGCTCTCTTAGACAAAATCTCACAAGCAAACCAAGGATTTCTTATTTGAGAGCTAAAGAAAATAAAGTCAGAAGTATGTTTTCCAATGATGGGTGAAAATAAATAGGCCTGAAGAGACTATTAGGGGAAAGTCAGTATGGATTTAGCATCAGCTTGGAAAGGCTAGTGTCCTGGTTGCTAATTCTAACCATCCTTGACTTTCTATTAGTTCAGTATTTAGATTGTGTATTTCCTAAAGTTAAGAACTATCTATTCCTCACCAGAGATTGTATTTGCAAAACAACATGAAAAAATAAAATAAAACAAACAAACAATCCTGCCTCCTAATACTGGATATGTGGATATATATATACTTTGAGCTAGGATAATAATGCATGACACACATCACAAAAACAGGACAAACATCCTCATCACTGTGTAAAGTATTCTCACTTCCCAATTACAAAAAAAATCTTTAGAGATTGCCCATGCTCATATTGCCTGGTTTTCTCCAATCCGTATTAGTGTCAATGTGTCCTCCTCCATCTAATTCTCTGAAAGGGTGCTGGCACCTTTTCCTCTTAGATAAGAAGCTGTTGGATCTAAAGTATAGGCTAATACACTTTTTCAATTGCTGTCAAATCATTTTGCAGTTACTCAGGAGTCATGCTGCTGCTCACTTAATTATTAAATGTCCTAAAATATCAGGTGTGCAATTTGCAATGAAAATGTAACAATAGGCCATCTCCTCTAATGGGATTTCAACAGGGATGAAACTAGAAAGATAAATCTGGCTCCACAAGTCATTAAGAATATAGGGCATTTTGGTTCCAAAGGGGTTCCTAACAAGGGGAATCATGTAACAAAGAAGTGAAAAAATATGCAGGTATTTAGTTACCATAACTGCTTACTCCAGATAAAGATATAAGTTATAGATTTTGATGAAGAATATATTTTTAATTCTTGATACATAAATCATGATCTTGTTCACTTGTGTGTTAGAAAAGATTTTTGCTCCGTGAATAAAACAAAATAAGCTTGGTTTGTAGTTTATTGGAAACTCTTATCCAGGCCATTTGTTGAAAATAAGCATATGAAATTTACCAGGATCCAAACATTGCAAAACTGCTTTTGTTTTTCAAAGTTGCTGGTGACAGGGATGGGTTTATGTGTATGGAGGAGGGACGTCATAGTTAGTAGAAGAAAAATGGAATCCTAGGGCAGATCAAGAAACAAGCTGAATCCTTTACTGCACACATAAATCATGTTTGGCCTAGGGCAGCTGACAATTTGCAAGGCTGACCTGTAATTGTTTTTATTCTTGGAATCCCTTTAAACTCAAAATTATTCTTATATAGCCATCCAGAGCCAGTTATTTTTTGTTTTGTTTTTCTTTTTGTAGTGTCTTTACCTCCATTAATTAACAATGATCACAAACAAAACAAGCAAGAAAATTAAACGGATAATGCTGGGTGCATTCACTTTTACATTGTAAAAGTTATCCTAAATCAGTACCTGAAGGAAGGGGATTTATTTGCCTTAAGGAAGGGATAAGTAGTCCCTCCACTCCATGTCTGTTTACTCTTCACTGTTAGTTCTTTTTAGAGAGCTATGGTCACAACCATTAAGGCAAACCAGTTAGATATACCAAGCAACCCTCTCCCTCCTCATCTGCTTCATTCATCTTTACTTAAGAGCAAATCTCACAGGAGTACAGCTTGTGGTTAAAATGTGTGTGAGTCTGTACTATACTCCATGAGAATACAAAGGGCTAGCCTTATGAGTTATGGAACTATTTTATGTCATTGGACTGAGAAATCCCATCCTTTTAGCCTTATTCCTTAAGCTGATTAAGTGGAAAATGCTCCTCAGGGCTCCAGTTAAGATCCCAGCTATCACAATTCTTGCCCCAGAAAGCCTTGAGGTAGGTTCTACCCATCTACTGGGAACGTGAACCCTACAGAGTGGGGGTTCTTTTCTGAAGATGTGACAACAAATGCTCCTGGAAAAATAAGGAATTTTTCAGTGAGAAACATGATCTGTGCTGACAAGCATTGTAGATTTGTTCTGTGTCAACTTAGCAAAGCTAGTACAATATTTCTCCAGAGTTTCCTTCCCTGTGTATTTCTGGGTTAGTGTGGGCCACAAGAGATGTTTTGCATATGATGCAAGAGATGATGATATAAATGAAGCAGAACCATCTTCTTCTTACTCTTGAATTATCGGTATAGGGCATAAGGTGCTATTTCAGCTCACACAGGTTCACTCCCATCTGCTGCCTCACCCTAGTGTGAGGCAGCATCTGGGCCATAACTGCTCAATCTCTTGCCTCTTACAGCTTCTCCAATTCCCTCAAAAATTAGGTGTTTATCTCTGAGATGAAAGGTGCTAACTTCTGCAGGAAAGCTTCATCATCAAAGATGGAGGCATAAAGTTTATGGTGAGAGACCAACATGGTTCTAGTTCATCTTCATGTGTTCCAGCTCAGCTTTGCAAGTTCCAGTTTATCTTTGTTTCCTCTACTTTATGTTTGTCTTCCCTTCCTGGCTGCAAGTCCTGAGAATTTGGGCTCCAGCATTAGATTCATCAGCAACAGCCTCATATGGGCTGTTTAATCTACTTCCACAAATTGCAGAAGGTCAAATTCCAATAATAAATTCCTTAATAGAGCTATCTATAGTTGTAAATACATAGATATAGCTAGAGATAGAGATAGTAATAGGGAAAGAGATAGTGATAGAGATAGGGAGAAATATCTCCCAATGATTCTGCTTTTCTGATTGAACTCTGACTGACACTAAAACCCTGGATCCTTTAAGAACTTGGGGGGCCACCTCAAAGGGAAGATGCTGAGCTGATGGTAACTGAAGGAAGTGACTGAGACCTGAATTAATGTCATTTCTATTGCTACTGTCTGAGGCTTGGCTTCATTGCTGACTTCTGCTTTTTGTTCAGTCCTCCGACTATCTTGTCTATTGATCCTACCATGGTCCCAAACCATGATGACATTTAAGCCTGCTCTATGAATTACTGTTGCTTTCATCCTTGTTCATGACCATTTTCCCTTGACCTTATTTCTGAATCTTGCCTCTGCCTGTATAAATGTACCTCTCACTGAAGTTCTCCCACATCTCTGGAGCCTATGTTGCTTTTGTGGTCACATCTCCTGCCCGTACCATCTTCTTACCAAAGTCTGCCACTGTATGCTGACTTCTGTGCTAATAAAAATGTCATCACACAGAAAATTTGAGGTCGGTGGTTGGGTAGCTGAGAATGAGACATTCAGGATACGGATCAGCAAAGTCAAACTCGGGTAGGAGGCCACATGGTGGCCACATGGTAACCAAGGAATGTCAGAAAAGTAGGGCTGCCTTAAGAGAACTCTGGGAAGCTTTAGATGAGGCTCTAAGGAAAGAGGAGTTGAGGAGCCCATCACAGACCTCACCTGCTTCCTGAATCTGTAGAGAAGCCGCCTTACAAGCAAAGTAATTGGTAGTGACACTCTTAGCAACCGGGAGTATGCCAAATCTTTTGGATGTGACAGGATATTTCCCTCCCTGAGCAGCCCTCTGCAATGAATAACCTAGATTTGAAATTGTGTGTGTGTTTGTGATCACTCATGATTTTTGAAGTCCCAACTCAAAGTTAAAAAAAAATGGCCTTTTGTGAAACTTTCAATAAACAACTCTTTATAAGAAAACAATTCCAGGAGAAAGGGAGAGTAAGGTGGCAGAACAGAAGGCTCTACCAATTGTCCCCTCCTCAAGGACACCAAGTTAACAACTATCTACACAGGAAAAAAAAAAAATCTTCATGGAACCAAAAATCAGGTGAGCACTTATAATACCTAGTTTTAACTTCATATCACTGAAAGAAGCACTAAAGAGATAGAAAAAATAGTTCTGAATGGCGGACGCCACCCCTCCCTTACCCCCAGCAGTGTGGCCTGCTGCGGAGAGCATCTCTTGGCTCTGAGGGAAAAAGAACACAACAATTGTGAGGCATTGAACTCAGTGCTGTCGTGGTAGGGCAGAAAAGAAAACCGGACCAAACTCGGCTTACACCCGCCCACGCAGGGAGCATTTAAACAGGCCCTAGCCAGAGTGGAATCACCAAGCCCAGCAGTCCAAACTAGAGTTCTTGCAAACCTCATCACCTAGGGCTACAGTGCTGTCTGTCTCCAGGTAAACTTGAAAGGTAGTCTAGGCCACAAGGATTGCAACTCTTAGGTGAGTCCTAGTGCTGAACTAGGCCCAGAGACAGTGGACTGAGGGGGCAGGTGCCATACTGAGACATCAGCCAGGGCAGCTAAGGGAGTGCTGGCATCACCCATTCCCTAACTACAGGCTACACAGCTAATGACTCCAAAAGAGACTCCTTCCTTCTACTTGAGGAGAGGAGAGGGACTTTGAGAGAGAGAGAGACTTTGTCTTGCATCTTGGATACCAGCTCAGCCACATCAGGATAGGGCCCCAGTAAGAGTCATGAGGCCCCAATTCCAGGCCCTAGACACTTCTAGACACACCCTGGGCCAGAAGGGAACCTGCTGCCTTGAAGGAAAAGACCAAGTCCTGGCACCATTCATCACTTGCAATACCCAGGTTGAGGGCCTTGGGTGAGCCTCTGAGACTTGCTGGCTTCAGGTGAGGCTCAACACATTACCAGCTGTGGTGGCTATGGGGAAAAACTCCTTCTGCTTGAGAAAAGTAGAAAGAAAAGTCAAAGGGACTTTGTCTTGCACCTTAGGTACCAGCATGGCCATGGGAGGTTGGAGCACCAAGCGGGCTCTTGGGGTCCTTAACTCTAGGACTTGACTCTTGGATGGCATTTCTGGACCTGCCCTTGGCAAGAGGGGAGCCCACTTCCCTGAAAAGTGAGTTCCAGGCCAGGCAGCATTCATCAAAGGTGATTTAAGAAGCCTTGGGCCTTAACGGAACATCAGCAGTATTCTGGCAGTACTCCTCATGGCCTGGGATGGTGGTGACTATGGGGTAAGCTTCCTTTGCCTTTGGAAAGGGGAGGGAAAAGTGGGAAAAACTCTGTCTTGTGGTTTGACTAAGCTCAGCTGTAGTACGATAGAACAACAGGTAGACTTTTAAGGTTTTTGACTCTAGTCCCTGACCCCCCAGACAACACCTCTGGACACACCTGGGGTCTAGGGTACCTCACCACCCTGAAAGGAAGGGCACAGGCCTGGCTGATATTGCCACTGGTTGCTTCTAGAGCCCCAGAACCTAGAATGAAATTAGGCAGTATCCAGGGGGTGGGTAAAACAGCCCTCATGAGAGATCCAGTGTTGTACTGGCTTCAGGTATGATCCAGTGCAGTCATAGTGGTGGTGGCCACAGGAGTGCTTATGTCACTCAACTTCCATCATCAGGTGGCTCAGAGCAGAGAGAGAGCCTTTGTTTCTTTGCAAGAAACTAAGGGAAGAGAATAAGAGTCTCTGCCTGGTAATCCAGAGAAATATCCTGGATTTTGTCCAATATCATCCAGGTAGTACCTCTACAAGTATGCAAGAACCACAGCATTACTAGGCTTGGGTTACTCCCTAAAGCAGATACAGCTTAGATCACAACACTCAAGTCCTTTCAAATATCTGGAAAGCCCTCCCAAAAAGGATGCCTACAAACAAGCCCAGACTATGAAGACTACAATAAATACCTAACTCTTCAATGTCCAGACACCAAAGAACATCTACTAGCATCAACGCCATTCAGGAAAACATGGCATCACCAAATGAAGTAAATAAGGCACCAGAGACCAATCCTGGAGAAACAGAGACATGCCACCTTCAGACAGAAAATTCAAAATAGCAGTTTTGATGAAACTCAAAGAAATTTAACATGACAGAGAGGGAATTCAAAATTCTACCAGATAACTTTAACAAAGAGATTGAAATAATTTAAAACAAACAAGAAGAAACATTGGAACACCCAGCTATATAAAGGAAATAGTATTAGATCTAAAGAGATAGACCCAAATACGATAATAGCTGGAGACTTCAACACCCCATTTTCAGCATTGGACAGATCTTCCAGACAGAAAAGCAACAAAGAAATATCACACTTAATCTGCACTATAGACTAACTGGATCTAGTAGAAACCTATAGAACATTTTATCCAATGGCTGCAGAATACAAATTCTTTTCCTCAGCACATGGATCATTCTCAAGGATAGACCATATGTTAGGTCACAAAACAAGTCTAAAAACATTCAAAAAACGGAAATAATATCAAGCATCTTCTCTGACCACAATGGAATAAAATTAGAAAATAAAAAAAGAGAAAATTTGGAAACTATACAAATACATGAAAATTAAACAATATGCTCCCAAATGACCTGTGGGTCAATGAAGAAATTAAGAAAAACATTGAAAAATTTCTTGAAACAAATTATAATGGAAACACAACATACCAAAAGCTGTGGAATATAGCAAAAGCAGTACTTAAAGGGAAGTTTATAGTTATAAATGCCTACATCAAAAAAAGAGGAAAAACTTCAAATGAACAATCTAATGATGCATCTTAAAGAACAAGAAAAGCAAGAGAAAACCAAATTCAAAATTGGTAGGAGAAAAGAAATAATAAAGATCAGAGAAGATGAAATTTAAATGAAGAAAACAATACAAAAGATAAATGAAACAAAAAGTTGGCTTTTTGAAAACTTAAACAAAATTGACAAACATTTAGCCTAAGAAAAAAAGAGAGAAGATGCAAATAAATAAAATCAGAAATGAAACCAGAGACATTACAACTGATACTGCAGAAATTCAAAGGATCACTAGTGGCTACTATGAGCAACTATATGCCAATAAATTTGGAAAACCTAGAAGAAATGAACAAATTCCTAAACACATACAACCTACCAAGGCTGAACCATGAAGAAACTCAAAACCTGAACAGACCAATAACAAGTAACAAGGTCAAAGCTGTAATAAAAATTCTCCCACTAACGAAAAGCCTGGGACCAATGGCTTTACTGCTTAATTCTATCAAACATTTAAAGAAGAACTAATACCAATTCTACTCAACCTATTTGGAAAAATAGAGAAGGCATGAATACTTCCAAACTCATTCTACAAGGCCAGTATTACCCTGATACCAAAACCAGACCAAAACACATCAAAAAAGAAAACTACAGGCCAATATATCTAATGAATATTGATACAAAAATTCTCAACAAAATACTACCAAACCAAATTCAACAATACATTAGAAAGATCATCCATCATGACCAAGTGGGTTTTATCCCTGGGAGGCAAGGATGGTTCAACATATGCAAATCAATCAATGTGATGCATCATATCAACAGAGTGAAGGATAAAAACTATATGATCATTTCAATTGATGCTGAAAAAGCATTTAATAAAATTCAATATCCCTTAAGATAAAAACTCTAAAAAACTGGGTATAGAAGGAACATACCGCAACATGATAAAAACCATATACAACAGACTCACAGCTAGTGTCATCCTAAATGGGGAAAAACTGAAAACCTTCCCTCTAAGATCTGGAACACGACAAGGATGCCCACTATTACCACTGTCACTCTATATAGTACTGGAAGTCCCAGCTAGAGCAATTAGACAAAAGAAAGATATAAAGGGCTTCCAAATTGGAAAGGAAGAAGTCAAATTATCCTTGTTTGCAGATGATATGATCTTATATATTGGAAAACCTAAAGACTCCATAAAAAAACTATTAAACTAATTCAGTAATGTTGTGGGTTACAAAATCAACATACAAAAATCAGTAGTATTTCTACATGCCAACAGTGAACAATGTGAAAAAGAAATTTAAAATTAATACAAGAGCCACACATTAAATTAAATACCTAGAAATTAACCAGAGAAGTGAAAAATCTCTATAATAAAAACTATAAAACACTGATGAAAGAAATTGAAGAGAACACCAAAAATGGAAAGATATTTCATATTCATGGATTAAAAAAATCACTAATGTTAAAATGTCCATAGTACACAAAGCAATCTACAGATTAATCCAATTCCTATCAACATACCAGTTACATTCTTCACAGAAATAGAAAAAAAAAAACTATCCTAAAGTGTATATGGTACCACAAAAGGCCCAGAATAGTCAAAGCTATCCTAAGTAAAAAGAACAAAACTGGAGGAATCACATTACTTGACTGCAAATTATCCTACAGAGCTATAGTAACCAAAACAGTATGGTACTGGCATAAAATCAGACACTTAGACCAATGGAACAGAAAAGAGAACCCAGAAACAAATGCACACACCTATAGTGAACTCATTTTTGACAAAGGTGCCAAGAACATACACTGGGGAAAATACAGTCTTTTCAATAAATGGTGCTGGGAAAACTGGATATCCATATGCAGAAGAATGAACCTAGCCTTCCATCTCTCGCCATATACAAAAATCAAATAAGTGGATTAAAGACTTAAACCTAAGACCTCAAACTAAGAAGCTACTACAAGAAAACATTGGGGAAACTCCAGGATATTAGTCTGGGAAAACATTTCTTGAGTAACACCACGCAAGCACAGGCAACCAAAGCAAAAATAGAGTAATGGGATCACATCAAGTTAACAAGCTTCTGCACAGCAAAGGGTATAGTCAACAAAGTGAAGATACAACCCACAGAATGAGAGTAAATATTTGCAAACTACCCATATGACTTGGGATTAATAACCATAATATATAAGGAACTCAAACAACTCTATAGAAAAAAATAATCTAATCAAAAATGGGCAAAAGATTTGAGTAGATGTTTCTCAGAAGAAGACATACAAATGGCCAACAGGCATATGAAAAGGTGCTCAACATTTTCATGCTCAACATGAGTACACTAAAGCCATTTAGTGCATAGTTTAAATAGTTAAAACATGTGGATTTAGAATTATATTTTCATAAACCTGTTTATTTTTTAAAAATCAAAGAGTAATAAAGAAACCTCGCTTAGCAAAAAACCTTCTCCACCATCAGACACATCTGGATCACTGGGAGAGAGGAGGCCAAAGGCTGGCAGAGAGAGTGTTGAGGATGCTAGTGGATGAACTGCTTGTTCACAGGAACAGGTAATAAGCATGTTTGGCAGATTTGTTCTCCAGGGGGTAAATTAATAGCTGGAATTAACCTCATTTCAAAAAGGGCATTCTCTAGCTAATTAAGATTGTAAAAACCTGTCATGTTTAGTAGCGTGGTGGATACTGTTTTCAGAGTGGGCTTAACTGTAACATTAGAGCAAAAAAAACCTTTTGTAAATTATAAGCAATAAGTGTTTTAAGTGTTCTCTCTGAATTGGTACATACTAGAAAAAAATCCTCCCACACATATCTGACTAGTTTATAACCTCTATGTTTAATGTACAGACTTAAAATGAATTCCATTAATTTTCTTATGTATTGTTGTTATTACAATTTAAAAATACTTACTATCTAAAGCTATTCTCCATACTCTGAAGAGTCAAAAAGTACTGTCTCTTGCAGTCAAACATAGGAAGAGGAGGAAAAAGCCCTGATTTAAAAATGAGTTAGTGGCTCTTGTATCAGACTAGAAAATAATTCTGACGAACTGTGGAGAAATTATCAATGCTAGGCTTGCAAAAAAGCTGATCAGGCTCCTTACACAATGGCATCTCTAAGAAAGTAAAGCTTCTCTGATAATTGTTCAAATTTCAACTCCATCAGCAAGTGTTTTCTAAGTTGTTTGCCTGTTACTGTCCAATCTAATTCTGCAACGCTGAGACCTCATGGGATGGGTTGCATGGTGGAACTTGGAGCTGGCACGGATAATATTTGAGGGGTATATATTATCTCTCCAGATAAACTAAAAAAATACTAATAGCGTCATTGACTGAGCACCTTATATGTTAATTGATTCATGTATATAATTTCTTTTTCTCGACACAACAAACTGACAATGCAATTGTTGCAATTAGTTGTATTCTCATTTTGCTAATGAGTAAACTGAAGTTTAGTAAGGTTAATTAGGTTCCCCCAAGGAACTAGTTACAGTTAAATTAGGTAGGCTAGCTTGAAAACTGTTTCCGTATCATATCCACTGATTACAAAGCTCTTAACCCTTGTGTTTCCCAAGTGCAGACCACGGAGAAAGTGTCCTTATGTCCTGCTTTGAACAGAACAACTCTCATTTACACCTGCTGCCTGAGTGAAATTACTAAAGATGCCCCCATATTTGTTCATGGTGGCTGTGAAAATATACCTCTATGATCTTCAACTGCAGGGGGTGTAATTGATCGCCTCAGGTACTATGCTCTGCAATCTACTCCATGCTTGCGTTGATTCCACTTCCCCCATGGCAGGACACCTGCCCATTTCTGGGTGGTGCAGAATTTCTCTAACACCGAGCTTTGGCTTGAGGACTCCCCTATTATCTTGCTGAACTTTCTTAGAATTACACTGTGCTTCTATCCATCCTTTTTTTCCCTTCCTTTTTTCCTTCACTTGGGGTCAGACCTCCATCAAAGTCTGACAGCACTTCCAGCCTCTTTTGGCCCTCTCCCTATTTTCTCTCATAGGCATTTCCCCTAATACATTTCTCATATGTCTAACTCCATTTGGCCATCTGCTTCTCAGAGGATTCAGAATAACACATGAGTCAAAAGTGTTCTAATTTGGACTATAAAAATTATATAGTCACCCTAACCATGTACTGAGTTGCATCAGAACACATGGGGAGACAAGTCATAAGGCAAATTCCTGAACCCCATTTACACTGACTAAATTGGGACATCTGGAGTGGGGATGGTAGAGGGACTGCAGGCCAATCTATTTTTTCAAAATTTCTGGGTAAGTCTAATACAAGTAGGAAGCCACTGTGCTGGATTATACACCAGTGACTCTCCATTCTGGCTGCACAACATAATAATCTAAGCCCATTCTAGTCCTCTTGAGCTAAAATTTTGAGGTACATGAATTTTATAAGGCATCATAGGTGATTCCTATGGCCAGCCAAGGATGAAAACCATTGTGATCAGCCTCGTTTTATTTCTTGTTTCCCATTAATTATCTTCCTCCACCCAAGCCCATCATAGATCCACATAACATTAAGAGTTACACCAAGGAGAAAATCAATAATAATAGTAATAATAATAATAATAATAATTTATTTTTGCTATAATGCCATGAATTTGTATGGTCCTTTAAAGATATTTACACAGTCTCACATTTATGATCTCTTTTTATTCTCACAACTACACTTTGAGAAAGTACTGCAGATATTATTATCCCTGTTTTATAGACTGAAAGAGCTGAGTCTTAGAGAGATGTTAGTTGGTTTGTGCAACGCAAAAAGAGAAAAAAAATCAAAGGAACAAATGCAATCAAGAACCCAAATATTAATTATCTGTTCTTTCCATTACATCATGTTGCCCTGTCTTGTTACCGAACCTCATTTTGAGAGACTAATAAAGAAGATTGGGGGAGAATTGTGAACACCAATCCCTAAATTATATTTCTAAATATTCTGAGTCCAAGTGTGAACAGCTGAACAGGAAATACCTAGTGAATGAGAGAAATTGCCAAACATTTCTAGTCTACCTAGTCAAAGCCTAGAGTTTAGAAAATATCTGACAGAACAGTGGCTAAAGCCATTTCCAGCTTCAGTACATTGCCATTCTGTAGCCCCTAAGATAGACTAAGGGATTGTCCCACCAGGAATTGTTTCTCTTTCTGTCATACAAGGAAACACTGTAAGGGCAAATATCTAATGAGAATTAAATGAAACACTCAACCATTTGGGATAATTTGAGTTATTTAAAATATAAGTGTGCCAGTATTACCTGACTGCTAAAACAACCCCCAAATCAGCGACTTGCCTCAATAAAAGTTTATTCATTGTTCACGTCATGGTCCAGGGCAGGTCACCCAGGGGTCCTGTTTCATGTAGTCATTTAGGAAATAAGACTTCTTCCATCATGTGGCTCCATCACCAGACAAAGAAAGGAAGATAACATGGAAAATAATAGGAAGATGTATTCCCATATCAAACAGATGTGAAGTATATCTGTTTACATTCCATTGACCATAATTCAATTACAAGGGACCCTAGGAAATGTCAAGTGACAAGGAGGAAGAGAACATGAATATCGGTGAACAAATAGCCAGTGCATTTCATAATTGCCATACTTTTGTTATGATTATTATACCTGGCATCTTATTCAGGAGCCATTATCAGTAAGAAAAAATATTTAACTATTACATGGTCACATGTGATCAGAGTCCAAGAGGTATAAAACATTCACTTATTTTGGATTATCTTTCAGTGTATACAGAATCTGCCTGAGATGGCACTTTGGAGACCTCATTTTCTCTTACTGTGTTTCCCCCAAACTTTTTTTTTTCTTTTTCCTGTGATCACTTTAGTCTTTCTACCTCTGTTCTTCCCAAGCATTCTAGCTCTACCCTGAAGAAAATGCACATCTTCACAAGGTTCTGAGAATCCTCCCCTGGTGCCACTAGAAGGGAAGGGGGGATCAATTTTTTGAAATAAAATGAGGCAGCACTAAATCCTTTAGATTCCTCAAAAAAATGGGAAATCCACAGGTCAAACTAACCTTTTTCTTGCCAATATTGACCACCACTCATGGCATAACCTCAATGTGCTTTGTATCCTATTGTGTTTCCTTAAATAATTTCATATTTTTTGATCCAGCAATTCTATGTTGAGAAACTGGTCTTCAGAAACAAATCAGACAAGTTACAAAAAACAAATTCACAAGATATGTATGACTGAATTGTTTATAAATAGTGAAGAACCAGAAACTATTGTGTCTGAATGGCTTACAATAGGAAATTGTTTCAATACATTGTAGTACATACATGAAAAGTATGAATACCGTGAAGTCATAAAAACTGGCGACAGATACCTAATATTTACTAAATATTCATAACATAGAAGTGAAAATGTATATTGCAAAATATTAATAGTAATTACAGTGTTATTCTAATTTGAAAATGCATATATTTTCATTGGAAAATGTTAGGAAGTTGACACCAAAATGTTAACAGTGATTATCTTGAGGTCATAATATTTCATAGTTTTAATATTGCTTGATTTACTTACCTATATTTCTTAAAAGGTTTGCCAAATTTAATACATGCATAATAAGAGAGTGGAGATATAGAATATGCAATCAGAGAGTGATAGATGAAGTCAAGTCTCAGAAGGTGGTCTGGTTTAGAAGTAGAGTGCTGACGTTTTCTGTGGTGTTTATGAAAACACTTGCTTCCCAATGTCCCCCACCCATTCTCTTACCTATCTTCTCCACTTCAGGAACTGTTAAAGGGAAATGCTCATTTGTTAACTGCACTTAAACCGAAATCCAACAATAGATATATTAACTAATTTACCCAAAGGTATACAGTTAAATTTTAATATAGTAGTTCTTTTGTCCTTTGTCAAGTCAGTTCCTTTGATTTTAATGTGTTCTGAATAAAAAGAATCTCATAATATCTCAAAATAAAAAAATATCCCACTATGCTTGGAAGAACAGAGCTTATAAGTCACTTTTGTGACTCAAGAGCAAAACTTAATAATAACAACTTTCACTGATTTCAAAGACAGTAGGCTAGTAAAATGTGTGGTGGCCAAGAGAATGCATCTTAGATCTTCTACTCTGAGGATTTCAGTGGACTAGCAGTCCCAGTTGTCATATTCTGTAATCCATCTGCCTTTTGCTCCAAAGCAACTCTTCTCAGGTAATGACAGCTTGGAGGGGCTCCTCACAGCTAATGACTAAGGACAGCAAGCGTACCAAAGTGAGCATATTCCTGAGAGGATTCCTCTGATGGGTGACAAGCACAAGGATTCCCCTACAGTATTGCCAGTCTATCTTATAACTGCATTACAGATTAAGATGCTTCCACTCAAGCTTCCTTCCTTCCCTATGTTCTTCACTTGGGTTTAGACCTGCATTGCAGTCTGATGGCTCTTCCAGCCTCTTCTAGCTGCCTCCCAGTTTTCTCTCACAAGCAAGTCTCCTACTAAGTTTCTGACAAATTTAATCTCATCTTGGCATCTGTTTCTCAGAGGACCAAGACAACTACAAATCATTTATAATGTTCCCAAGAGGCTAAAGGTTAAGTGATGTTCATAACCACATGTATTAGTCCATTTTCATGCTGCTGATAAAGACATACCAGAGACTAAGCAATTTACAAACAAAAGAGGTTTAATGGACTTATAGTTCCTCATGGCTGGGGAGGCCTCACAACCATAGTGGAAGGCAAGGAGGAGTAAGTTATGTCTTACATGGATGGCAGCAGGCAAAGAGAGAGCTTATGCAGGGAAACTCCCATTTTTAAAGCCATCAGATCTCTTGAGACTCATTCACTATCATGAGAACAGCACAGGAAAGGCCTGCCCCCGTAATTCAATCACCTCCCACTGGGTTCCTCCCACAACACATGGGAATTGTGGGAGTTACAGTTCAAGATGAGATCTGGGTGGGGACACAGCCAAAGCATATCACCACACTTGCCACAACTCAGGTGCAGAACTGGAACCAGAAGGAAACATTTTCTCTTGGGGATGTCCTTTATGGGTTCCATTGAAACCTAAACTTAAATTCTATTAAGAATTTAATATTTATTTCACTTTGAATGGACAGCCTTAAGAAGTCTATTAATAACCTAACAATCAGAACTACTCATTACCCTGGAGGAATCACAACTTGGAGACCACAATCACAACCATCATCCAACAACATCACTGATTTTTAAAATTAATCTATGTTTATCTTAGAATATTTACTAGTGATTCATTATTGGCCTTGGACATACACCTTAATTTCTCTGAAGACTATTTTCTTTATTTGGAATCATTTACTGTAAGGGAATCTCCTTGTTTTTAAGAAAAGTGGCTCTGGAGCCATATTTTATTGTTTGGATCCTGGCCTCAGAACCTACCAGGTTACCTTGGGTAAGTTACTTACTATATCTTTGCCTCAGTTTCCTTATCTACAACATGTGTTTAACAATAATATCTATCTCCTAGTGTTATTATAGAAGAACAGTGTTTAGTACACAGTACCTTGTAAAAATATTGGCCATTGTGCTTAGCATTAATATCAATTATCTCCTACGTGCCAAGCAATCCTCAAAGGTCTCTGGGAAAAACTGTGAAGATAATATAGTGTGGTTGAGGAACTCACAGAAAATTAGAAAAAGCTGAACACAAATAATTGTACAACTGTGGTATAAGGACTATAGGAAAGGAAAATAGACGGCACAGGTGTTCTATAAGAAATAGGATCAAGTGGGGTTTGGAACACTTTCCAGGAGACATTAGTTACACGTGAACTGAGTCCTGAAAGCTGTAGAACTTGATGAGTCAAAGCAAAGTTTCCACAGAGAGAGGACAGCTCATGTGAATACATGTGGATGTAGAAGAGCATAGAGCACTCCAGGCGGGTGAAAGAGATTTGATCTAGTCCAACTGAAGGATGTGGGAGGAGAAGCATGAAGAGGCGTATCTTCAGAGTTTAGCCTTCATTTCTGTACAATGAAGTCTGAATTTCATTCCTAGGGAGTGGAGGGTCATCAATGAAGAGGTTATAACAGGCAAAGAACATTACCAAGGATGTATTTTAGAAAGTGTTTTTTGGCAACTTTATGGAATATAAACTAGGTGTGGGCAAGACTCAAGAGAGTTAGAGAAACCAGTAGGGAAGTTCTTACTTGTAGATGCCAGAAAGGGGAGGGCCAGAAAAAACAGAATAGAGGATAGAAGGAGGGAAGGAAGTTTGCAGAAAAGGATCATAATTGCTTCCTTTTATTCCTAATGTGCTTAATTCCACAAAAAACATGAAATGACTTGCAGAAAGTACACAAGAAAAATAGTTAAATAAATAAAGCTCTAAGACCAGGGGAAACATAAATTAGATTAGGAAATATGGGCTGGAATAGAGTAAGACAAAAATAGGCCAACCATTTGGGCTTGAGCAGGTGCTATCCTGGCAGCCAAAGTGAAAAACTTGATTTGATATATAGTTGATCAATTATGCCATTAATCAGTTTTTCTCATTAATATCCTCAAAAGCATCAGCTAATGAGACCAATTGGTGTGTTGTATTTAAGTGCATATGAGATATCTAGCTAGGAATGTGAATAACATCTCTGTGTATCGGCCTTGTGCTTGACAGATGGTCATGGGCTGGAGAAATACATGAGTGAGGCCTCATTTAGTACCATGTGGACAGCAGGACCATGATGTAGATTGAACTCACTCTGGGAGACTGTGTTGACCAACTTCTTGGCAAAGTAAACTACCACTGTTTCACCAGAAGCTTTCCAAGGTTTTTTTTTTTTTTAGCTCTAGCATCTCATGGTGTTGCCTTTCCCAAACAGAATGCTAGCTATATGATTCATTAATTATTGACAAATATTTATTGAACACCCACTATGTGTCAGCTACTGTTCTATGAACTGGGGATATGGTGGTGAATGAAACAAACAAAAATCCCTACCTTCATGGATCTTATATTCTAATGGCGGACCAGGGAGGACAGTCAATACACAAGACCAGAGACAAGAAGTAATGAGTGGGGTTCACTACTTTCAAGTAGTATACACTGATCTGAATACAATTCTTGAGATTAATTCTTTTATCTGACTTTTAACAAGGGAAAGAGCAGTGCAGAGTGAATCAGCATGCTAGTTCAATACGTGACTGGCACAGACCTAGAGAATCCCATTAACCCAGGTCAGAATATAACCAAGAGGTTCCTCTTTAATAACTTAGATCCTCTTTAGGGCAGAATTAGGAGTTGCTTCCAGTTAGGATCCTAAGAGTAAGCCCTAAAACACAGAGTATCTAAGGAGCTGGAATTCTCTAGCCTCAACTTCTCCAGAGTTTGTGGGCTGCTTCAGGTCCAGTTGTATCCAACTCAGTTCAGCCTTATTCCTTCAAAGCAACAGCAAAATTTATCCAACTGGGAAGGGCAGGTAAAGGAGAACTTGTGGAGCAGCTCAACATTCATTGCCTGTGTTCATACTTGCACATAAGCCAGATACCTGGATTATATGAGACATTTAATGCTTGAACTTCAGAACCAAGCCACTGTACTCAACAATTATTAGTGTATCATAAAAATGTAACCTTTATTTAGTATGTTGCCCACCTGGTAGAAGCAGGACACATAGTCATAATGCCTTTGAAATTCTCCCTTCTTACTTTCTTCATAAGCATTGCTTGAGTTTTATTTTTGCTTTTATTCACTCATATTCTAATTTTTACTTCTAGTAGTTCAGAAGATATACTGTATTTCTATTCTTTTGTGGTGACCTTAGAATTTTTATATGCTTATTTAACAAGTCTAAAGTAAATAAATAATTTTATCTTCTTCCCAAATAATGTAAGGACCTTAGAACTTGAATGCCAATCACTCCCCACTTATAATTTCTATACTTTTTATTAACCATACAACCACATGATTCTATCTCAATTTTTAACCCCACAAAATACACACTATTGATATCAATATATGACCGATTTTGCCTACATGTTGAGCATTTTATATGGTTAACATTTTTTCTTTCATCTCATACATTCCTTCTGTGTTGGTCTTCCTTTTCCTAAAATTACATCCATCGAAATTGCCTTTAGTGATGATGTTGGTGATTAAGCCATTAAAACATAGTAGTAGTAATAGCCATAATAATGATAATAATAATAAAAGGAATAACTACAAATTATTGCATGGTTACCATGTGTTAAGGACTATGCTAAGTGCTTTAAATGGACTATATCTTTAAATTCTCACCAAACACCTGTCAGATACCATTATTATCTTGATTTTATAAATACAAAAACTTAATCTTAGATTAAGTAACATGCTCAAGAGCACACAACTGGAAATAATTTTCCAGTGCACATGCTCTGAACCATTCTTCTTGCATTCATATAACTTTGAATATATTTCAAAATTTCCTCAACATGCTTTTGCATCTTACTTGTCACTAGACTCACAGATTTGATTCACGAATAACATGTTTAATAACAATCGGAGACTTTGAATGGAATGCATTTTCTATTCATTTAAACTCTTTAGAGCTTTTTCATATATCAAATTAACATTACAACCACAGTCCTTCACTTGTGGCTATACAATCAATACATACATAAACACCAGGCAGACTATGTCACAATGCCACATCATTATTCATGCTGCAGCGGAATGGACTTCAAGCTATTTTAGTCTACGTAGAAGGAGGAGCTACTCTCAAGTTTGTGACCTCCTACCCAAAATGTTGTTCTCCATTATTCAAAGCATGCACACATATTGAAACTTTCCTCCTCTAGAACCTTTTGAAATCACTTTCTTGGGCACCAATATCCCCAACTCATGATAATAGTTGTTTATCCAAAATAACTAGTAACAAGGAGGACTTTGCTATGGTCCCTCATTTTGTGATGCTGAATCTCA